>NC_000002.12:29659374-29812125 GCF_000001405.40 Homo sapiens
GGAGTGGGCTGTTCTGCCTGGGGAAGGTGGGCTGGGGAGATGGCATAGGGTCTCCATGGTGAGCTATTTATTGTGACAGCACTGTCCAGGTTCTCAACTGGTCACAAAACCTGGTCACACACTTTCTGTGAGCAGCCCCTTAAGAAGCGTAGGGCATTCTAAGCACTACGTTATACAACAGGGACTGACATTTGGGGAGGCAAAGTGAATCATCCATTCTCTCAGGGCTGGGGCTGGACCAAAGTTATTAAACAAATAAAGAGTTCTACCAGCCTACCACATAAACCAACCCATCTTTACATTTGCAACATCTGTCCCCAGAGACCAGGCATTTCTGAGGGTCTACTTCAACACAACAGATTGTCTTATTCTGTCTTGTATTGTTATAACATAATACTACAGACCGGATAATGTTTAAAGAAAAGAGATTTATTACCATCAATCTCTTAGAGGAGCCCTCTCTCCCTGCCTCCTTCTCTTCTTGTCTGCTGTACTTTACCTTCTTTCCAACTTTCTCCTTTGCTCTCATCTCTCCCCTCCCAGCTCTGCTGTTTCTCCCTTTACCTTACCCTAATATGCCCCTTCTTATATATCCAGTTTTTAATTATTATTAGCTAGACTCCATCTTTTAAAAAGTGATACCCCACTTTCGGGACATGAAATAAAATAGCCCTCTAATGTGTACAATTTTGGAAGGAAGCCTTGTCCTTTCCAAATAAGCCATGGATGTGCTATGGACAATGGGGGCACCAAGAGTCTGTCCAGCACGGTCCTTCTGTCCACCACAGTCCCTCTGTCCAGCATGGTTCCTCTTGGGCCCAGGGCCCAGTCAGACTCTGCACCCACAGACACGCTTCTTGACTGGTCATGTTAAATCCTAGCCCAGGAAATGCAGTAACAGCTCTACTGTGGACTGACTGTGAACACAAACCAGATAACGTTTTAAAGCCTGAGTGATCTGTGCCCAATTTGTTCAGAGGAACTGGAAACAAGAAGAGTTGCCAAGACAGGTGGGCAAATATGCTGAGGTTCAGCTGCTCCCTCTCAAGGCCCCTCTTGAGGAAATCACTGGTGGGGACAAGGCCAGCCCCTGGATGCCAGTCACTCAACTCCACCAATCCCCAGGCCAATGCCTCACACAATTCCCTCTTTTTTAAAGGAGGGGAGTGGTGGAGATGGGGTGTGATGAGAAAGAAAAGAAGGAAAGATACATATGAGGAAGTCAGGGTGAAAAGGGGATGAGGGAAACCAGGAGAAGGTGGGGAGAGGAAAAGAGGAGAGAAACGGCCCAGGGAGAGGGGAGAAAGGGGGAAAAAGGGGTGGTCAGAAGAGTGAGTAGAGGCAAGCAGACAGGCAGGGGGCCATGGAAAGCTGGAATGTGCACAGCTGTTCCAAAGCTCACAGCTTTCTTTCCTTTGGGGTCTTCTTAGTTTCCTTGCATTTTCATAACTTATGTCTCTTCCTGAATGTGATTAAACGACCCTCCCCAATTCTACCTTGAAGTACTGCATTAGCCATAAAGGCATAGAAGAAGGAGACCACACAATGCCCTCATGGAAACCGTAGTGCTCCCTCAACTTCTCATTTGGTTGACTTCTCCCATGAAGTACTCACACCGGACATCTTCCTGGGCAGTTAAAAGCACTTACTCTGCTCCTCTCTGGCTCCTTGTAACATAGTTACGGAAAGAGACTGAAGACACCAATACTTACTGAGTGTTGTGCATTCTTCTAGGGATTTTATATATGTTGACTCATTTAAATCTCATCACAACCCTAAAACAAGATATTATTATTCTTATTTTAAAGGTAATAAAGCCAAGATTCAGAGAAATTAAGCATCTCAATGGAAGTCATGCAGCTACAGGAAGCAGAGTCAGACGGGTCTGACTTCACTGTCTCCAGTGCATCATGCTAACCCTCCTGCTTCTCCTCTCTACCTAGTTAGGGGCTTTCTAACAGGCCAGAAGATTAGATGAGAGAGGCATTGCCATTTTGCACTGATGCTATGATTGTCAACTCCAGGACTCACCACACTATCTGGCTCATTGCATTTTCATTGAATGATATTTCCACTTCTATGATTCGGATAAGAATAGTTTATGTCAATGTTGAGAGGACACGTAAGTGTGCAATCACTTTGAACTCTAACAAGAAAAATAACATGATTGTTTAGGTCTTAACAGGTGATGTTCTAAGACCTGTCATATATTAATCACATCATTCTCATAAAAATCCTATAAGGTATGACTGTCTATTTGCATGGCACACTTGAGAGATAAAGTCACTTTCTGAAGATTATACAGTAAATAAATATGGAGCCAAGATTTGTACTCGAGCAGTCTGACTCTGGTCCTTGTGTTCACTCTATCCTCCACTTACACACTTACTAAAATGGCCAATCTGTGTCATTTAGAGCTGGCATAGCAGAAAACTGAGGCCCAACAGAGGCCAATGTAAGAAATGCCCTATCTGTTGAACTCTTATATGTTTATGGAGTATCATACTGTGTCTTTTATGAATATCTGTTTTGTTTTATTGTTGTTGTTTTTTTTGAGATGGAATCTCACTCTGTCGCTGGAATGCAGGGCAGCGGTGTCATCTCAGCTCACTGAAACCCCTACCTCCCAGGTTCAAGCAATTCTCCTGCCTCAGCCTCCCGAGTAGCTGGTACTACAGGCGTACACTGCCATGCCTGGCTAATTTGTTTGTATTTTTAGCAGGGACGGGGTTTCACAATGTTGCCCAGACTGGTTTTGAACTCCTGAGCTCAGGCAATCTGCCCACCTCGGCCTCCCAAAGTGCTAAGATTACAGGCATGAGCCACCACGCCCGGCCTATCAATATCTTTTAATACATATGTAACTAAAAGTTGACCGGGGCCAGCCTCCCTGCCCTTTGAGGTCTAAGGAAGATGAGTTTGAACCTCCAATTCTGCACCTTGTGAAAGTCTAAAATTCTCATGAAGATTTCCCAAACTCCCAGGTGCTCATGGCCACCTCTAACTTCAGATTCATGAATTGTCTCATTTGACCCAATTTCCTGTATGTTTTATAATAAGTTGCCCCAAAAGTGAAATTTGGCCCCTTCCTTAAGTTTCATCCAAAAGGTTACTTATTGCAAGGCCATTTGTGTGTTCACTATAAGATTTGGGTAGGAGAGGTGCAATAAATACAGAGAAAGAATTTACATCGAGGAATATAAACAACCTCAAGGTGATCATTAGGGGTGCTGGCTCCTTATGGTTATGCCAGCTCCTGCAGTTACAACAACCCTCTGGTAAGAAACTGTCAAAGTTGACTTCACCGGTCCTATCTTTTCCTTCTCTTCTTTCCAGAAATATCCTCTCATTGTTTTTTTTGCGTAAATATGGACATCTGTGACCTACACGTGAAGGCATTTTTCCAAATAAAGACAGCTTCCTCCCAAGAGAAATTTGTGTGCCTGCTTTTATAATATCATGTTTAACCCTTGCTACATGTTTGTGCCTTATCTTTTTGATAAAAATATGAGCTCCTTAGAATAAGTACCATATCTTTTACTGCTATGTATTGCTCTCCAGGCCTAGAAGAATGTCCAGTAGATAGTAGGGACTCAAGAGCTGTTTGATGATTGACAATAAATCAGACTGAGTCACAAATTGACTCATAGCTCAGTTTGACTATTAGGCTAATACTCCTTCCACTGAACACACTTCCTAAACAACACGGTCTTCCCATAAGCCTATATTCAACTACCACTGTATTTCCTTAAAGGGCAATTCATAAATCAGAGCAGACTAAACCACGGGCCTAATTTCCCCATTGGAACTCCTCATATTCATCTTCCTGAGCAACCATAAAACATGATTTCAAAATGACCTAGTAATTATGTCTTAGGGACACTGAAAAAAGTTTAAGTAAAAATGTCTTCATTACACAGACCCAAAATTCTTTTATGGAGACACACTCTTATTAATCACTTCAGGTGAGTCAAAGTAAACGTAATCAGTCAAAGCTTTACAGGAAAAGATTGAAAGAAAATTCTTGGTCCAGAATGATTTCTCTCCCTCCCTTCCTCCTTCCCATCGTCCTCCTTCTCTCTCTCCCGGATTCTTTCACCAACTTTTACCCAAGAAAGAGTACAACCAGTGATGGCATCAGTGAGATCCTTAAGCAATTTCCCTCTATAGAGTTTAATCTCATGGGGATAATTTCAAGAGAACCAGACTGTATTTTGGATGACTCACAGTTGTATTGTGTGTCTAAGACATATTTGAATATCTTCTCATAACAGACAATGAATCAGGCAATATTTTCAACTAGTTTTCATTCTCCTTTGTTCAATGTTTAAAAAAAAAGATAGGACAAAATCTAACTGTGGGTATCAGTAGTTGTGAAAGTTTAAATTTTGTTCCATGTAACAATGCAGGAAAATTATAACTAATAGGTCTAGTCTGTAACCTATTATGTTTAAGGTCAGTATATGTATAATGCTTCTCTCTAGTGTTTGTCTATATGTCAAGTAACAAAACAAAGAAACATTTTGCTCCATGATGAAACCACCCTGAAGGGGACTTAGAAAAACCTTTCCTTGTTATGTTGAAACAACACAAGGAGAGGGCAAAAAGAGAGGAAAGTACTACCTCTAGGAACCCCCTTGGTTTCTGGGTTCCTCATTTACCTCTTTCTGATTAGTACAGCTTTCCCAGTTCTTCCCAGGTAAAACCTTCTGAAACATTTCTCCTACAAACAGCTCTGCTCCAATTGCCAATGTCTCTGAGAGCCAGGAGAGATGATCTTAGCCCACTAAAATCTCACATCTACAACAAAAGTGGCAATGATGAAAATGGCATTCCAACCATGGTTCAGAGGGTTGATTTGCATAAGTCTGCTTAAGAAATTTTTCATGGGATTATGAAAAACCAAACTTGAAATTTGTTGTTTCTGAGCTCTGTTTTAAAAATAATGACGTTACTAAATACCCAGTTGTCCAAACTATACAATTAAATTAATACTGGTTCTCTTTTCTTTAGTTACCAAAACAGACCTCAGACTCACAGCCTTTTTGTACTCCCACTTCCATTTGGGAGTAGGTTTGGGTCTTTATCTGTCACTTGAGTAGCCCCTTACCTGGTCTTCTTGTGGCTACCCTTTCCTCATACTCTTCTTCCATCACTATCAGAGCAATCTTGGCAAAAGAAGGGCTGGTCAAGTTACCCCCATATTTATGTCCTTCTATTGTCTGCCCAATAAAGTCTGGGTTTCTTAATATGACTTTTACAGTCCTCTTCACAAGCTGGTTCTAAACCTATCTTTCCATCCTCATGCTGCAACCCAGCTCCACCCCACCTTGTCCCAGGTCCTACTATCAGGAGTGACAGCATAATGGCTTCCAACTACTGAACCTTTACTCTGTGCTCAGCATGGTGCTATGTTCTATATAGACAACCTTTCACTTCGTCCTCACAACTTAGGGCTGACATGATTACTATAATAGTCTTCCATATCACTTACGGAGGTTCAGAACTTGTCCAAGGCTGCCCACCAGTCTATCCTCTGGCTACATTGCCCTTTCATTTCCCATCCTATATAAAAATCTAGCCTTCCATTGAGAACCTGGTAAAATACATCCTTTTTTTTCTTTTTTTCTTTTTTTTTTTTTTTGAGACCTGCTCTCACTGTGCCACCCAGACTGGAGTGCAGTGGCACCATTATAGCTCACTGCAGCCTTGACCTCCTGGGCTCAAGTGATCCTCCTGCCTCCACCCCCCAAGTAGCTGTGACATTATGCTTGGATAATTCTTGTATTTTTTGTAAAGACAGGGTTTTTCCGTGTTGACCAGGTTGATCTCAAACTCCTGGACTCAAGCAATCCACCCACCTCAGCCTCCCAAAGTGTTGGGAATACAGGCGTGAACCACCATGCCTGGCCTCTGCTCCTCTTTGAGGCTGGCTTCCACAACCCCTGACCCTCCTAACCTCCCGCTTTTCCCTATCTGATGTTACTCTGAGCCTACTGTATTTTTTTCATAAAATATTGTTTAAACTTGATTACAGCAATAATCACAGCAAGTTTAATGTGTCTGTCACCTACTCCAAACCATGAACTATCCTTACGTCTTATGTATTTATGGCATCCTTTATCCTTTATGCCTACCATGGCCTGGAACATAGCAGGTACTAAATAACTTATTATAGCATTAAGTACCAGGCTGTGAGTTCTTGGTGGGCTCCCAGGTGTTGAGGTTGAAAGGGGGCCTATGCAGGATAGGACACAGTGACAAGGGCATGGTCACAAGAATAGGCAGAGCTCTTGGCTAAGAACATTACACCCACTTCATCATTCAGAATTAGAGTTGAAATTAAGTATTGGCCTACTTGATATTGTTTGCTTCAACAGGGCTTCCCCTGGGACCCAGAATGAGTTTAAGCCTGGGATTGGAACCTACGTAGACTTGCTAGCTTTCAAATGATTTTTTTTTTCATTAAAGCACACAGATAAGATATACCATGAATTTCACTTACGTAAGATCAACCTCCTCTTGTTCCTGAGAAGTAATGAAATAATTAAATAGAACTAACCCTTGACCTGAAATTCCCTGCCCCATGTCTCCCTACTCTCATGCATGGGTGTTTCTCATTCCCTTCTGCTGTCCTGCCACCATGCCGAAGTTCACGCAACAGTGCTCATCTCTAGGCCATTTTCAATTAATTTCCTGAGTAAAATTTCATGAGACACTATAAAATCTTTTGCTGAAATCAAGATGTATTACATCTACTCTATTCCGTTAGTCTACTCATCAAAAAAGCAATCAACTTTGTCTGGCATGATTTGTTCTTTTAAAACCTATAATGCTTATTGCTCATAATTCCATTATCCTAGATAGTATTTTATTCCTCTTAATATTTGTTCCACTATATTAACAGGGATTGAATTACTAGATGGTCGTTTCTAGGGTCCCTTTTTTTTCTCCCCACTGCTTTGAAAATGAGCTACCTAATTTGAAACTATCAAAAAAATGGTATTTTCTTACTCTGTTGAGTCATAGAATAAGAAAGGAGCTCCCAGAAGTCACTTGATCAATGCCCTTGTATCTCCTCAAGGCTCTCATCTCCTTTCTAAACCATTCTAGACCAGTACTCATTACTCAGTGTCTCCCAAACAGGAGATTCTGAGACCTCTTTTGATAACTGAATCAATTATTCATGTATGACCTTATGATCCAGAAGAACTTCCTAATTTCTCATCCAGGACTATTCTGAAAGAGGATGATGGGCTGAAGACACAGATCTGAGCTCCAATCTTGAGCATGCCATTAACTAGCCATGTGACTTTAAGCAAGTAACTTATTCTTTTAAAAAAAATTAAGGTAAAACATACACATAAAATTTACTGTCTTTACTATTTTAAGTATACAGTTAAGTGGTAATAACTATATATATAATATAGTTTCTATATATGTATATATTCTTCCCCTTCACCCCCCTTCTCCTACCTTTCCCAGCCTCTGGTAACCACCAATCTACTCTCTATCTTCATGAGATCCACTTTTTAAGCTCCCACATAGAAATGAGAACATGCAATATTTGTCTTTCTGTGCCTGGCTTATTTCACTCAACATAACTGTCTTCAGTTCCATCCATGTTGCTGCAAATGGCAGGATTTTATTCTTTCTTATGGCTAAATAGTATTCCATTGTGTATAAGTAACACATTTTCGTTATCCATTGATGGGCACTTAGGTTGAGTCCATATTTTGACTATTGTGAATAGTGTTGCAATAAACAGGAGAGTGCAGATGTCTTTTAGATATATGCATTTCCTTTCTTTTGGATATACACCCAGTAGTTGAATTGCTGGAACATATAGTAGTTTTATTTTCAGTTTTTTGAGGAAACTTCTTACTGTTCTCCATAGTGGCTATACTAATTTGAATTTTGGTGCCCTTTATTTATTTCTCTGAATAAATTACTCTGGCCAGGACCTCCAGTGTTATGTTAAATAAAACTGGTGAAACTGGGCATCCTTACCTTGTTCCATTCCTTAGAGGAAAGGCTTTTAATTTTTTCCTATTCGGTACAATGTTAGCTGTGGGTTTCTCACATATGGCATTTGTTATTTTGCAGTATGTTCCTTCTATCTCCACTTTGATGAGGATTTTTGTCATAAAGAGACATTAAATTTTATCAAATGCTTTCTTGGTGGAGTCCTCAGGTTTTTCTAGGTGTAAGATATGTTATTGATTTGTGTATGTTGAACCATCCTTGCATCCCTGGGATAAATCCCACTTGGTCATGGTGAATAATATTTTTAATGTATTGTTGAATTAGATTTGCCTATATTTTGTTGAGGATTTTTACATCTATGTTCATCAGGGATATTTGCCTGTAGTTCTCTTTTCTTGTGTCCTTGTCTGGTTTTGCTATCAGGGTAATGCTGACCTCATAGAATAAATGTGGAAGTATTCCCTCCTCTTCAATTTTTTTGAAGAGTTTGAGCAAAATTGGTATTAATTCTTCTCTAAATGTTTGTTACACAACAGCAGGGAAACCATCTGGTCCTGGGCTTTTCTTTGAAAGGAGAGTTTTTGTTGTTGCTTCAATCTCATTACTCATTATTAGTTTATTGAAGTTTTTTATTTCTGCATGTTTCCATCTTGGTAGATTGTATGTGTCCAAGAATGTTTCCATTTCTTTCAGATTTGCCAATTTGCTGGCATATAGTTGTTCATAATAGTCTCTAATAATTCTTTGTATTTCTGAGGTATCAGTTGTTATGTCCCCCTCTTCATTTCTAATTTCATTATTTGAGTATTCTTTCTTTTTTTCTTAGTCTAGATAAATGTCAATTTTGTTTATCTTTAAAAATAACTTTTTGTTTTGCTGATCTTCTGTATTTTTTTAGTCTCAGTTTCATTTATTTCTGCTCTGGTATTTATTATTTTTTTCAGTTTGGGGGTTTGATTTATTCTTGCTTTTCCTTGGGGTTCATTAGTCTACTTGAGGTCTTTTTACTTTTTTAAAACATAGGTATTTATTGCTATAAACTCCCTGTTAGCACTGTTTTGTCATATCCCATAGATTTTGGTATGTTGTATTTCCATTTTAATGTGTTTCAAAAAATTTAAAATTTCCTTCTTATTTTCTTCATTGACCCATTGGTTGTTCAGGAGCATGTTGTTTAATTTCTGTGTCTGTGTATTTTCCAAGGTTACTCTTCTTATTAGAGTTTTATCCCATTGTGGGCAGCAAAGATACTTGATATGATTTTGAATTCTTTGAACTTGTTCAGCCTTGTTTTGTGGCCTAACATATGATCTATTCTGGAGAATATTCCACGTGTTGATTAGTTTATTCTGCACATGTATTAGTCTGTTCTCATGGTGCTAATAAAGACATACCCAAAACTGGGTAATTTATAAAGAAAAAGAGGTTTAATGGACTCACAGTTTCACATGGCTGCGGAGACCTCACAATCATGGTGGAAGGCAAAGGAAGAGCAAAGGCACATCTTACTTGGTGGCAGGCAAGAGAGAGTGTGTACAGGGGAACTCCCCTTTACGCTATGTAAGACTTATTCACTATCACAAGAACAGCAGGAAAGACCTGCCCCCATGATTCAATTACCTCCCACTGGGTCCTTCCCATGACACATGGGAATTATGGGAGCTACAATTCAAGATGAGATTTTGGTGGGGACACAGCCAAACCATATCAGCAAAGATGGGTGAAATGTTCTGCAAATATCAGTTAGGCACATTAGATCTAGTGTGTAAGTTAACACTGTTATTTCTCTGTTGATTTTCTGTCTGGATGATCTGTCCATTACTAAAAGTGGGGTGTTAAAGTCTCTTACTATTATTGGACTGTAGTCTATCTCTCCCTTTAGATCTATTAGTGTTTGCTTTATATACTTGGGAGCTCTGATATTAGGTACATAGATATTTATAATTGTTATATCCTCTTCTTGAATTTGACCCCTTTACTTTATATAGTAAGTTATTTGTCTCTTTTTACAGTCTTAGATTTTTAGTCTATTTTACCTGATATAAATATAGCTGCTCCTGTCCTTTTTTGGATTCCAGTTGCATGGAATATCTTTTTTCACCCCTTCACTTTCAGTCTATGTGTGTCTTTTGTATGTGAAGTGGGGTTCTTGAAGGCAGCATATAGCTGAATTTTATTTCTTTATCCATTCAGCCACTCTATGCCTTTTAATTAGAGAATTGAGACAATTTACATTTAGTGTTATTATTGATAATAAGAACTCAGTACTGCCATTTTATTCTCTGCTTTCTGGCTGTTTTAAGATCCTCCCTTTCTTACCATTTCCCTTTGTGGTTAAGTGATTTTCTCTGGTAGTGTGTTTTAATTTGTTGCTTTTTATTTTTAGTGATTCTACTATAGGTTTTTACATTGTGATTACCATAGGCTTACAAAAACATCTTATAGATAATAATAAGTTGTTTTAAAGAGATAACTTATCTTAGATCACAAATAGAAGAATAAAAACAAAGGCAAAAAAAAACTAAAAAAAAAATTCTATACTTTAACTCCATATCCCCCACATGTTGAATTTTAGTTGTCTCAATTTACAAATTTTTATATTACCTATCTCTCAACAGGTTGCTGTAGCTATTATTGTTTTTGACAGATTTGTCTTTTGGGCCTCATATTAGAGTTATAAGTGAATTGCACGCCATAATTACAATACAGTATTATGGGTTTATTTGTGTACTTAATTTTACCAGTGGGTTTTTCACTTTGAAATGTTTTTCTTTTGCATGTTAGTGTTTATTTTTGTTTCAGATTGAAGAACTACCTTTAGCATTTCTTTTAAGAAGAGTATGGTGGTCATGAAGTTTCTCAGCTTTTATTTGTCTGGGAAGGACTAGCTTTCCTTCATAGTTGAAGAATAATTTTGCTGAGCACAGTATTCTTGGAAGGCAGAATTTTTTTCCTTTGGGCACTTTGAAAATGTCATTCCATTCCTTCCTGGCCTACTTAGAAGTCTGTTGAGAAGTCTGTTACCAGATGAATTGGAGTTCCTTTATATGTTATTTCAGTTTTTTTTCTTGATGACTGCAGCATCCTCTCTTTGTTTCTGAACTTTGAGAGTTTGGTTATTATATACCTTGGTGTGGTCTTATTTGGGTTGATTCTGGTGTTCATAGACCTTGGATTTGTATATTTCCCAAGTTTGAGGAAGTTTTCTGCTATTATTTCTTCGAATAAACTTTATGCCCCTTGCTCTTCCTTGGCTCCTTCTTGAACACCAATAATTCTTAGATTTGGTCTTTGGAGATAATTTTCTATATCTTACAGGCAATCTTCATTCCTTTTTGTTCTTTTTTCTTTGACTGTGTATTTTCATATAGCCAGTGTTTGAGCTCACTGATTTTTCCTCTGCTTGGCCGATTTTTCTGTTGAGAGTCTCTAATGAGTTCTTCACTTCAGCAAATGTATTTCTCAGTTCTAAGGTTTCCGTTTTATTTTTAAAAACTATTTCAATCTTTTTGTTAAATTTCTCTGATAAACTTTTGATTTGCTTTTCTGTGTTATCTTGGAGATCACTAAGTTTCCTTTAAAATGCTATTTTTAATTATTGGTCAGGGAGCTCACAAATGGCCACTTTGTTAGGGTCAGTCACTGTATTGTTGCTTTGTCCTTTTGGTAGGTCATGGTTCCCTGTTAGCTGTTGTTTTGTGTTGGTATGTGTTTATATCTTTGCATTGAAAGATCAGTTTTTTATTCTAGTTTTCTCTCTCTGGCCTGTTTTGTTTTTTATTGGATATATTTGCTTAGCAAATTTTTACCTATAGGTTGCTGCCTCCTTTTTGGTTCTAAGTAGCACGTGAAGCCCAGGTTCACCTCTGCGCTAATAAATAGTCAAAGTGCTGCCTGTTCCAAATGGGGGAGGTCTCAAAGAGATTACCCAGTAGTGTGGGAAGGCTGGCTAGCAGTTTGTGCCCAGGGAACCTGTGAAATGTGCCTCCTAAGCATGATGCTGCTGAACAGCCACATTGATTTGGCATCTCCTTTGGCTGAGTTACAGAGTAGAGTTTCCATGGCTGGAGACGGCAGTCCTACCTTTGCCTATGCCCATCCTTAGGGATATTTTTCCCTTTAGACAATCACAATGCTTCCTGTGCATTAAGGGAAGGACAGATCTCCTGCCAAAGAGACCCTAAGAAGGTGGAGAAGCTGGTTGACCACCTCAATTTCAGTTTTTCCAGTGTAGAAATTGTGAATGAGGAAAGATTTTCTATGAACTTGTTGCCAGGAAAATTGTGGGGTAGGGGTGTCACAGATGTGAAAGTCTGATTCTCCTACTACTTGCTTAGAATATTTTCACTTCTCTGTGGTCCTGGGACCTGTCTGATCCTCATGTTTGAATTTCAAGTGTTGCTAGTGAAAATCTCAGTGCTTTGGTTTTGATTTTCTACAGGGTGTGGGGAGTAAAACCAGCTTGCTTCTACACCACCATTTTAAAACTGGAAGTCTCCTTTTCTTAATAGAAAGCAAATAGCATTTTTAGATATAAATATTTAAAGAAATTTTTAGTTTTTAATTACAAAATAAATATGTAAAAATTCTAATGATACAAAAATGTATTCTCCTCCTAGTTCCCCAACCAAAATTCTACTCTCCAAAAGTAATTGGCAATAATAGTTTGGTATACATGCTTCCAGGACATTTTCTTTTTTTTTTTTTCATTTGAATTAGAGTCTCAGATGTCTTTTATTTAGGGAGGTTTTTTCATACATTTTCTGTTTCCCTGCATACCTTCTGCAGGAAATATACAGTGGCTTCTGCTTTTTTTTTTTCTTTTATTATTATACTTTAAGTTTTAGGGTACATGTGCACATTGTGCAGGTTAGTTACATATGTATACATGTGCCACGCTGGTGCACTGCACCCACTAACTCGTCATCTAGCATTAGGTATATCTCCCAATGCTATCCCTCCCCCTTCCCCCCACCCCACAACAGTCCCCAGAGTGTGATGCTCCCCTTCCTGTGTCCATGTGATCTCATTGTTCAATTCCCACCTATGAGTGAGAATATGCGGTGTTTGGTTTTTTGTTCTTGCGATAGTTTACTGAGAATGATGATTTCCAATTTCATCCATGTCCCTACAAAGGACATGAACTCATCATTTTTTATGGCTGCATAGTATTCCATGGTGTATATGTGCCACATTTTCTTAATCCAGTCTATCATTGTTGGACATTTGGCTTGGTTCCAAGTCTTTGCTATTGTGAATAGTGCCACAATAAACATACGTGTGCATGTGTCTTCATAGCAGCATGATTTATAGTCCTTTGGGTATATACCCAGTAATGGGATGGCTCGGTCAAATGGTATTTCTACTTCTAGATCCCTGAGGAATCGCCACACTGACTTCCACAAGGGTTGAACTAGTTTACAGTCCCACCAACAGTGTAAAAGTGTTCCTATTTCTCCACATCCTCTCCAGCACCTGTTGTTTCCTGACTTTTTAATGATTGCCATTCTAACTGGTGTGAGATGGTATCTCATTGTGGTTTTGATTTGCATTTCTCTGATGGCCAGTGATGATGAGCATTTTTTCATGTGTTTTTTGGCTGCATAAATGTCTTCTTTTGAGAAGTGTCTGTTCATGTCCTTTGCCCACTTTTTGATGGGGTTGTTTGTTTTTTTCTTGTAAATTTGTTTGAGTTCATTGTAGATTCTGGATATTAGCCCTTTGTCAGATGAGTAGGTTGCAAAAATTTTCTCCCATTTTGTAGGTTGCCTGTTCACTCTGATGGTAGTTTCTTTCGCTGTACAGAAGCTCTTTAGTTTAATTAGATCCCATTTGTCAATTTTGTCTTTTGTTGCCATTGCTTTTGGTGTTTTAGACATGAAGTCCTTGCCCATGCCTATGTCCTGAATGGTATTGCCTAGGTTTTCTTCTAGGGTTTTTATGGTTTTAGGTCTAACGTTTAAGTCTTTAATCCATCTTGAATTGATTTTTGTATAAGGTGTAAGGAAGGGATCCAGTTTCAGCTTTCTACATATGGCTAGCCAGTTTTCCCAGCACCATTTATTAAATTGGGAATCCTTTCCCCATTGCTTGTTTTTCTCAGGTTTGTCAAAGATCAGATAGTTGTAGATATGCGGCGTTATTTCTGAGGGCTCTGTTCTGTTCCATTGATCTATATTTCTGTTTTGGTACCAGTACCATGCTGTTTTGGTTACTGTAGCCTTGTAGTATAGTTTGAAGTCAGGTAGTGTGATGCCTCCAGCTTTGTTCTTTTGGCTTAGGATTGACTTGGAAATGCGGGCTCTTTTTTGGTTCCATATGAACTTTAAAGTAGTTTTTTCCAATTCTGTGAAGAAAGGCATTGGTAGCTTGATGGGGATGGCATTGAATCTGTAAATTACCTTGGGCAGTATGGCCATTTTCATGATATTGATTCTTCCTACCCAAGAGCATGGAATGTTCTTCCATTTGTTTGTATCCTCTTTTATTTCCTTGAGCAGTGGTTTGTAGTTCTCCTTGAAGAGTTCCTTCACATCCCTTGTAAGTTGGATTCCTAGGTATTTTATTCTCTTTGAAGCAATTGTGAATGGGAGTTCACTCATGATTTGGCTCTCTGTCTGTTGCTGGTGTATAAGAATGCTTGTGATTTTTGTACATTGATTTTGTATCCTGAGACTTTGCTGAAGTTGCTTATCAGCTTAAGGAGATTTTGGGCTGAGACAATGGGGTTTTCTAGATATACAATCATGTCGTCTGCAAACAGGGACAATTTGACTTCCTCTTTTCCTAATTGAATACCCTTTATTTCCTTCACCTGCCTAATTGCCCTGGCCAGAACTTCCAACACTATGTTGAATAGGAGAGGTGAGAGAGGGCATCCCTGTCTTGTGCCAGTTTTCAAAGGGAATGCTTCCAGTTTTTGCCCATTCAGTGTGATATTGGCTGTGGGTTTGTCATAGATAGCTCTTATTATTTTGAAATACGTCCCATCAATACCTAATTTATTGGGAGTTTTTAGCATGAAGGGTTGTTGAATTTTGTCAAAGGCCTTTTCTGCATCTATTGAGATAATCATGTGGTTTTTGTCTTTGGCTCTGTTTATATGCTGGATTACATTTATTGATTTGCGTATATTGAACCAGCCTTGCATCCCAGGGATGAAGACCATTTGATCATGGTGGATAAGCTTTTTGATGTGCTGCTGGATTCGTTTTGCCAGTATTTTATTGAGGATTTTTGCATCAATGTTCATCAAGGATATTGGTCTAAAATTCTCTTTCTTGGTTGTGTCTCTGCCAGGCTTTGGTATCAGAATGATGCTGGCCTCATAAAATGAGTTAGGGAGGATTCCCTCTTTTTCTATTGATTGGAATAGTTTCATAAGGAATGGTACCAGTTCCTCCTTGTACCTCTGGTAGAATTCGGCTGTGAATCCATCTGGTCCTGGACTCTTTTTAGTTGGTAAGCTATTGATTATTGCCACAATTTCAGATCCTGTTATTTGTCTATTCAGGATTCAACTTCTTCCTGGTTTAGTCTTGGGAGAGTGTATGTGTCGAGGAATTTATCCATTTCTTCTAGATTTTCTAGTTTATTTGCATAGAGGTGTTTGTAGTATTCTCTGATGGTAGTTTGTATTTCTGTGGGATCGGTGGTGATATCCCCTTTATCATTTTTTATTGCGTCTATTTGATTCTTCTCTCTTTTTTTCTTTATTAGTCTTGCTAGTGCTTCCAGGACATTTTCTATGCCTAAATTACATATACAAACCAAAATGAGGCTATAATATGCATACTGTTTAACAACCTACATTTTCATTAAACTATATCAATATTTTTCCATGTTAGTGTATATAATATTTATTTAACATTTTTAAAAATATACATTGCTTTTGTAATTAAATTTTTTATGGATCCATCCTAATTAATTTGGCCAGTTCACTGTTGATGCACATTTAAAGCAGATTCTATTTTTTTCTCTATTCCACATAATTCTGACAATGAACTATAATAATATTTAAACAGTTATTGAAAATCAAGTGAAGGAAAGAGTGACAACTGTGAGATCCTGAGAGTTTCCCCTTAAAGGCAGCCTGCGTCTTCCTTTTCCTTTGCCCCCAACCTTCCCTACCAGCAAAACCTGATGGGACAGAGACCAGGGGGAGGTCCGAACCCTCAGTACCTTGAAGGATAGGATGGCCCAGGGGAACATCTTTCCCTCATCCAGTGTGAAAATCACCTGTGAATTTTTTTTTCTTAGATACTGAAAGTTACAGCTGGATCCATGCCTGCTGCTTACATGCTGTATGTCTTCGGACAATTCTTTACCTTCTTTGCAGCTCAGTTTGTTTATTTACAAAATAATGAGTATACCTTTCTGAGTATACCTCTTGCTGCTGTTCATTGATTATTTCCTGTGTAGCAAACATTGTGCCAATGTTTGCTTTAGTGTATGTGCAATGTGAGCTTTAGTGTATTATTTTGTTTAATTCTTATTAAATCCCCTTGAGGTAAGTTTTATAAATCTTATTTTTTAAAAATTTTGTTGTAGAGATGGCACCCCTCTATATTGACCAGACTGGTCTTGAACTTCTGGCATGAAGCAATCCTCCTGCATTGGCCTCCCAAAGTGTTGGGATTACAGGTGTGGGTGATGGCACCTGGCCTGAATCTTATTTTTTAATTCAGCTTTTAGTCTTATTATTGATTTGTAAGAGTTGTTTATATATTATGGATACACTTTTTTATGCAATGTATGATTCACAAATTTTTCTCCCAGTCTTGTGGCTTGATTTTTCATTTTCCTAATGGTGTCTTTTAGAACACAAAAGTTTTAAATTTTGATGAAGCACAATTTATCAATGTCTTGCATTGATTGTGATTTTAGCATCATACCTAAAAACGTTTTTCCCCACCCAAGGTCACAAAGATGTTCTGTCATTTTCATTTTCTTGGGTAGAAACTGTATACTTTTGGCTCTTAAATTCTGAGTTAATTTTTGTGTATGGTATGAGGTCATATTCTAAGTTCATTTTTTTGTAAATGAATATCCAATTATTCCAGCACCATTTCTTTTACCTCAGGCACCTTTGTCAAAAGTCAGTTGATTATAAATTAAACATGTATTTATGGACTCTCATTTCTGTTCCATTGGTATATAAGCCTCTCCTTTCTTTAATATCACACTGTCTTCATTACTTTGGCTTTATAGTAAGTTTTGAAATCAGGTAGTAGAAGTTCTCCAAATTTGTTCCTTGAAAAAATATTGTGTCTATTCCAGGTCTTTTCCATATAAATTTTAAGTTACGAAATAAAAAAGCCTACTGGAATTTTGATAGCAATTACATTAAGCTTATTGATCAATGTGGGGAGAAATACCATCTTGAAGCTATTGATATTTTCAATTCCAAAATGTAATGTCTCTTTTTTTAATTTATATTATCTTTAATTTCAGCAATATGCAATTTTTAATGTATGCAGCTTGCACTTGTTTTGTTAAATTTTTTTCTAATTATTTTCTCTTTTTGATGATCTTGTCAGTGGAATTACTTTCTTAATTCCCTTTTGGAAATTGTTGTTAGAACATAGAAATACAGTTAGTTTTTTAATATTGATTTTGTATCTGTGGCCTTGGTAAATTCATTTGTTTGTTAAATTAGCTTTCATTTTTTGTGAATTCTTTTGGGATTTTCTACCTAAAATTCATCTTATCTGCTAATAAAGGCAATTTTATTTTATCCTTTCCAATCTGTATATCTGTATGTTTTTAGTTCCCTCCCTCCCTATTTTATCCTTTCCAATCTGTATATCTGCATGTTTTTGGTTCTCTCCCTCCTTCCCTCCTTCCTTCCTCCTTCCCTCCCTTCTTCCTTCCTTCTCCCCTCCCCTCCCCTCCCCTCCCCTCCCCTCCCCTCCCATCCCCTCCCCTTCCCTTCCCTTCCTTTGTATTGGCTAGGCTCAATCACTACAAGTGATGAAAGCAAGTATTTTTCCCTTATTCTTAATCTTGGAGACAAGCTTTTAGTCTTTCATTATTATGTTGTTTGTTAGGTATGGGTATTTCACAGGTGCTCTTTATTAGGTTAAGGAAATTACCTTCTATTCCTAGTACATAGAGAAATTTGATCATGAGTGGATGTTGGATTCTATCAACTGCCTTTTCTGTGTTTATTGAGATAGCCAAACGGCTTATGTACTTTATCCTATTAACATGGTATATTACATCAACTGATTTTGGGATATTAAACCAACCTTGCAATCCTAAATAAATTCCACTTGGTTATAGTGTATCATCCTTTTCATCCGTTGCTAAATATGGTTTGTAATATTTTGTTAAGAATTTTTGCACCCATCTTTTATGAGGGATATCGATCAGGGGTTTTCTTTCCTTGTCACATCTATTTTCCTAGATTTAGGATCAGGGGAATAGTGAGTGGCCTCATAGAATGAGTTGGGAAGTATTCATTCCTTTATTTCTAAAAGAATATGTCAATAATTGGCATAATTTATTCTGCAAGTATTTGGTAGAATTCCCCAATGAAGGCACCTGGGTCTGGACTTTTCTTTTGGGGTAGATTTTCAATTACTAATTCAAGTCTTTACTTGTTATAAGTCTATTCAGATTTTAATATTTCTTCCTGAATTGGTTTTGGTAATTTGTGTGTCTCTAGAAATCTGTCCCTTTTATCTAAGTTGTCATATATTGTCATATCTAAGGTGTCATATATTGGCAAAAGGATGTTTAGTTTCCCTTACAATCTTTTAAATTCTTTAGGGTCAAGAGTGATGGTCCCTCATTTATTCCTGAATTAGTAATTTGTGTCTTCTCTCTCTTTTACTTGATTAATCTGAATAAAAGGTTTATCAATTTTGTTATTCTTTTCAAATAACAAATTTTTGGGTTCAATGATTCTTACTACTGCTTTTTTATTTCATGGATTTCTACTCAATCTTTATTTCCTTTCTTCTGCATGCTTTTACATCGCATGTTTTCATTGATTTTTCTAATTTCTTAAAATAAAAACTTAGGTTATAGATTTGAGACTTTACTCTTTTTCTAATATAGGCATTCAAAGCTATACTTTTTTTTCTCTGAGCACTTTTAAATTTCATCTCATAAGTTTTAATATGTTTTATTTTAATTTTCATTCAGGTGAAATATTTTCTATTTCCCATGCAATTGATTTTTTCTTTGATGTTTATTTAGAAGTTCATTATTTAATTTCCTAATAGTCAGGGATTTCTGAGATTTCTTTCAGTGGTCAACTTTTAGTTTGTTTTATTGTGATTGAAGGATATACTTTTTAAATTTTACTTGCATAATTTTAATTTTAATTAAATTTAAATTTAATTTTAATTTTACTTATATAATACTGATTTTTTACTTGTATAATTTTATACTTGTATAATTTTATATAAATTAATGACTTTCTTTATGGCCTGGCATATGGTCTATATTGAAGAATGTTCTCTGTTTACTTGAAAGGTTTGTATTATGTAGTCGTTAGGTGGAAAGGTGTTTATTTGTCAGTTAGGTTGAGTTAGTTGATGTTATTGCTCAAGGCTTCTATATCCTTCTTTATCCAGTTGTTCTACTTTTGGGAGTTATTGAAATCTCCCACTATAATTGTTGAATTGTCTTGTTTCCCCTTTCAGTTCTAACAGTTTTGCTTCATGTGTTTTGTGGCCCTGTTGTTTGATGCACATACATTTATAATTGTTATCTCTTCCTGGTGAATTGACATTTTTATCATTATAAAATATACTGTTTAGTATATTTTTGTCTTAATTTTATCTGATATTAATACAACCACTCCAGCTTTCTTTTGGTTAATTGTTTGTGTGATATCTCTTTTCCAATCCTTTTACTTTCAATCTATTTGAGTATTTGAGTCTAAAGTGTCCCTCTTCTAGAAAACATACATTTCATCTTCCTTTTTATGTAGTCTGACAATCTCTGATCTTGTGTGTTTTTTAGTTCCTCTGTATCTTTCTTCCTTTTTTTTCAGCACTGAATACTTTTCAGCGTACCATTTTAATCGTTTATTTATTTTCTTTCATTTTTTCCTTTGTTTCTTCCTTGCTTTTTCTTTCTTTCTTTTCTCTCTGTTTCTTTCTCTTACATTTTGGAGTTATTTTCCTAGTGATTGCTCTAAAAATTACAACATGCATCTTAGTTTATCACAGTCTATTTAAGATTAATATTACCTAATTTTACTAAAATATAGAAATTTTGCTCCAATCTAATTCTACTCTCCATTTTTGTGCTGTTATTGTCCTATATACATCTATATATGTTATCAACCCAACAATATAGTTTTATAATTGTGGATTTACATAATTTTGTCTTTTAAGATGTTAAGAGAAGAATAAGAAAAAGGTTGTTTAAGCCTTTTATATTAACCCATATGTTTACTATTTCTAGTACTCTTCATTTCTCCCCGTGGATTCAAGTTAGCTCCTGGTATGATTCATTTCAGCCTGAAACACTTCCTTAGTATTTATTGTAAAACAGGTCTGCTGGCAACAAATTCTCTGTCTTTGTTTTTCTGGGAATTATTTGTTTTGTCTTTATTTTTAAAGGTTAGTTTTGCTTGATATCAAAAACTTGTTGACATTTTTTCTTATCTTTCAACATGTTGGAATATGTGTTCCACTGTCTTTTAGTCTTTCATGTTTCAAATAAGAAGTCAGCCATTAATCATTTCAATATTCCCTGTACATGATAAGCTATTGTTCTCTTGTTGTTTAAGATCTTTGGTGGCATTTAACAATATGATGATGATATGTCTAGATGTAGATCTCATTGTATTTATTCTAGGTGGGATTTTCTGAGGCACTTGGATGTGCAAATTGATTTTTTTCACCAAATTTGGCAAGTTTTAGGCCATTATTTCTTCAAAAAAATTTTGCCCCCCTTTTCTTTTCTCTCTTATAGGACTTCTATTAAACACATATTATAACACTTCATGTTGTCCCAGAAGTTTCTTAGGATCTGAACATTTTTCTTAAAACATTTTTCTCTCTGTTCTTTAGGGTGAAAAATTTATACTGGCTTGTCTTCACATTTTAAAATTTCTTCTGCCTTCTTAAATCTGCTGTTGAGCTGGTCTAGTGAATTCTTCATTTTAGTTACTGCACTTTCCAACCCAAGATTTTCCATTTTGGTTTCTTTTTAAAAGATTTTTCTGTCCAGTCAAATTCTCAGTTTTTCAGTTATTATTGCTCATTGTTGTCATGCTGTTCTTTATTTCTTTAAACTTTTTTGTTGTTTTTAATTGAATATATTCATAATAGCTACTTTTAAGGTTTTATTTTCTAAATCCAATAGTTGAGGACATTCAGAAAGTTTTATTAGCTTTTTGTTTTCTTATGAGTCACATTGTATTATTTCTTTGTATATATTCTCATTTTTGTTAAAACTGAACATTTTAGAAAATGTATTACAGCAATTCTGGATTCTGATATTTCCCTCTGAAGACTGCCATAGGTTCTTTTCTTGTTCTTATAGTTGTTTTATTTTGCTATCTTTGTTAGTTTTGTTTCTTCATTTAGTAACTTGGCTGGGTTCTATCTGTGAAGTCTGTCTTCCCTGCAGTGTGTGTAGGCTGATGTCTCTATTGATTGTTTTTCAGGTGCTTATTTTTATTTTTACGTTTTAATAAAAAAGAGATGGGGTCTTGCTATGTTGCCCAGGCTGGAGTGCTGTGGCTATTCATAGGCATGATCCCACTACTGATCAGCAAAGTAGTTTTGACCTGCTTTGTTTACGACATGTCCAGTTCATCCTTTTTTAGGCAACCTGGTAGTCCCCTGCTCCTGTGAGGTCACCATATTGATGCCAAACTTAGTGCAGACACTTATCAGCATAGCACACTACAGCTCAGAACTCCGGGGTTTAAGCATTCTTTCTGCCTCAGCCACTGGAGTAGCTGGGACTACAGGCATATGCCACCATACCCAGCTGTTTTGATTTTTAAGCCTGGATTTCTATGGGTACTTCCTATGTTCCTTAGTGATTGGCAAATGTTTTTACAGATGATGGGCTTATATTCCTTAAGTCAGTAAGACTTCTGTCATCTGTCAATAGATCTGTGTATAGGTAAGATAATGTGTTTCTTTTCTTGCTTTGCGTATGTCAGGTCTTAAAAATCTGGAGGAGGAATGCACTTTAATGTTCAGGCCATTTAGTTCTTGAGTGTCTGCTCTGCATATACACAACCGTAGGATTGGCTAAAAGGCTGTGGCTACCTCAGACTCTGTCCTATCTCCATTGGGAATATATGCAGCCATAAATGGAGCCTCAGGCTAGCAGAGTAGTTCTTTCCCTATCCCAGCCCCATCCCACTTCCCTCTGAGATTATCACTTTCACCTACAACCCCCCTGGGCATGTACATTACCCCCTTCCCCCCCTCAACCTCATCTTTATTTCACTCCATCTAGACATGTGATTTCCTTCTGAAGGACACTGAGTTTTCATCCTGTCTTTGATCTCAGGAGCACAGAACCCAGTTGATCCAGCTTACTTTAAAAATATTACTCTATTTAATTATTTCCTCATTCCCACAGGCTTCTGGAATTCACCTCTCTTATCAATTTAGGCAACTAAGCTTGTTTCTCTAGCAAGCAATGTTTCCTAAATTTGTCCTTATATATGTGTCACACAAAAGACCAACAGGTGTCTGAATTTGTTTTTATTAGTAGGGCCAGCCCATTTAGTCTGTATGTCAGCCAATCTTGCTGGTTCTGCCTATTCTGTTTCCAGAGTTGTTGATGGGAAGAATACTTTAGGCTTTTGATGGCAAAGAGATTGAGGAGGGAAGAGGAAGAGAGAACACTGGGATAGAAGAGAGATGGAAAAGTAACAGACAGCAAAAATGAGAGAAATGAATGAAGCACTCATTTGAGGGCTGGGCAATTATGGATGCTCTCTAGAGAACTGCCTAGCCAAAAGCACTGAGACTCCTGTCTTCTCTCAAATCCTCATTTTGAAAGCATTAATTATTTTGATGACTCTTTTTTTTATATTCCCAGTGCTCTGACCTATTTTACAGTTAAAGGCTCCAAATAGGATATAATCTGTGTTTAGAGCTTGGACATGGGAGAGATAGCAGTGACTGCACTGAGTTCTCCCACACTGCACTGCCTGGGTACATACCACTATAGAATGAATTCCTTTTGGGTATCAATGTGTTGTCTTAATAAATGAAGAAAAATAATTCTTAGGAGAGGAAGATTATTTAATCTACATAATGATACTTTAATAATACTTTATGTTTGCTTAGCTGAAGCAATATTGGATATAAGGGGATTAAACAGGGGCATCCCAAGCTGTTGTTGCAGAAGTAAATTTAATGTCTATCTACTTTAGTGTCATGGCAATATATAACCGAAAGACTATTCTCATTGTAGGCACCTTGCCTAAGAATAATTCACCATTCTTAGCAAAATATTTCAAATACCTCCTTCATTGCCTCTAGATGCAACAAATGCTGATCACAACAGAAAGAAGGAGGTTGCCAAATATAACACAAATACAAGTCATGGTGCTCCAGAAAAGAGACACAGGGAGCTGCCACACTATGCATGCTATCAGATTCATTAACAAGTAAACACAGCATCTCGCATATTTCCAAATACTAACAGCTTCCATAAGAATCAACTAGGAAAGGAGTAATACTCAACATATGTACTTACGAGTAATACTCAACACAGGTACTTTGATCAAGCATGAAGGCTGGGCATGGTGGCTCACACCTGTAATCTCAGCACTTTGGGTGACCGAGGCAGGAGGATCACTTGAGGTCAGGAGTTCGAGACCAACCTGGTCAACATCATGAAACCCCGTCTCTAATAAAAATACAAAAATTAGCTGGGTGTGGTGGCGCACACCTGTAGTCCCAGCTACTTGGGAAGCTGAGGCAGGAGAATCGCTTGAACCCAGGAGGCAGAGGTTACAGTGAGCTGAGATGGTGTCACTGCACTCCAGCCTGGGCAACAGAGTAAGACTCTGTCTCAAGAAAGAAAGAAAAACAAAAAACAAAAACAAAAACAAAAAAAATGACTACGAATCACCAGTAAGGATCCCAAAGCAAGATGTAGAAAATTCAAAGTGGACCATAATGCATTAGATAAGAATAACCTGACCACAACCTTTGCTATGCAGGTTAAAGGTCCTCACCAATCACTTAGTAGAAAGAGCTGGACAGTGAGATCTGAAGCCCTGTGTATTCTTTCAAGCTTGCTGCACTTCCATTTGTAAATGTGCATGATTACTGCCTCAGGTGAGGGCTCCTCATTCTCAGCAAATCCTTTGTCATGTCCAAAATTTTTGAGTTTAACCCACCCCCCATTCCCAGATATGATGTTATATGTGAATGCCTGGGCCCAGTAAGCCTGCTTTGTAGGATCAAGATCCTTAAATCAAGACAGAGCAGCACCACTTGCTTCAGGCTGCTGTGGCTGGTTGACTGCTGTCAGGCAGGGCTGTGTGTTACTCCACTATGCCATTTTCCTGTTTACAGAATGGTCTCTTGTGCATTATTTTGATTGATTTTTATAACAAGTCAGGAAAGGGAGCCACAGAGGTAAAATGACCCCCAGATCCCTCTTCAACTTACGTTGAACCAGTCTTTCTCTATCTTGAATGAGTAAAGATTATCTTTCCACTCTAAGTAGAATAATTCTGTAGTTATCCCCATTCAAAAGAATTTTATTTTATTCTTTCTTGCAAGGTCCCGGCTTTCTTTCAAATCCCTTCAAGCATAAATTCAGAGTGGTTCATGACTTTTCTTAAGCAGAGCCCATTTTTCTTTAGGATGTGTCTTATCTGTATTATTTGATATATAGAAATCAGTGAGGCTAAAAAACTCAGATAACATTAATAAAAGCTTCTTAATACGAGGAAGTAAGGAAAGCAAAAAGACAGCTCCACATACTTTTATAGATGATCTAGTCCCACCCACTCAATTCACCAATTTAGAGACTGAGGTCTGATGTCACGTGTCAGCCAACGCCAACCCAGCACTCAACTCTCAGCACAGGGCTCCTTCCATTTCTAAAAGGGCAGGGAAACTATAAACAGCTTAGCTGGTGGCAGTAATCGATTCCACTTCCTCACATGGATTGCATCTCTGTGTGGCCGGGATGGCTGGTAAGTTTTAGGCTGTGGCTGCCTTGGACAGCACTCCTCAACCTGGCCATCTGCAAAGAAGACACAGGTGACAGTGGGCTTCCCAAGACCCCTCTGAAGACACGGCACTTCCAGACACCCCAATTGATGTAATTTGGTTGTGTCATAGGACAAAGCGGACACCCCAGTATCACTGGTATCTGGGAGATGCCCCAAACTTCTGAATGTACTGCCAGATATCTAATGAGGGTGAGTCTTCTGTAGGCACAGGCCTGGGAAGCACTGTGCTTTAAGAAGAGCTTGTCATAATGGTAAGAACATAAGACTGGGTGTTCAAAAACTGGAATTGAATATCTGACTGCAATATACTGGCTTTGGAGATTTGAACCTCTTACTTCATTTCTCCGAGCTTCTAACTATAGGTCAAGAAATATTTAATGAATGCCTATTTTATATGGAGGCTTAGGCTAGGCTCTTGGAACACTGCAATGAATGAGAAAGACTCAGCTTCCTCTCTTTGAAACTTACTAGTTCATCTTCGATTATCATCTACAACTTAGAAATACCTATCTTGCTATATTATAGGAATCAATTGTGACTGTGGCTGGAGAAGCACTTTACAGTCTGCAACTCTTGCCAGTTTCATTTGGGACAGGAAACGGGGCTCATTTATGAGCCAGTTGGCAGCTCACCCCAGCCCCTGTGTGTGTAGTTTCACTGCCTCCTCCAACCACCCTAGACAGGAGCTTCATAGAAACCGAGCCCTTGGCAGCTGTTACAGCACCTTCAGGCTCTCTCTACAGGTAAAGTAGTAGCCTTATCCCAGGTGCCCCATTTCTAGCAATGTGCCTTCTCCAGGACCCTCCCTGGAGGTGCTTTCGGTACTTCTTGCCTTACAAGAGCCAAACTCCCAGATGCATCTCCTTATTTCTGGCCTCAGCTCCTTGTCCCCTTGGGTATTTCTTTCCCATTTCTTGTCCATAGAGAAGTTTATTCTGTTTATAGTGGAGGAGACAGTTTAAGGACTGCATTTCCAGCCAGAATTCATTGGATACCTTCAATATATGTAAGTCAGTTTGTCTTGAAGTCCCCATCAGTCCTCTGAGCCTTGTTCCTTCTAGAATCGTGCCCCAGGTAAGCCCTGGCCCTGGCCCTGGCCCCAAGAGCATGTCAATTTTCCTGCCGACTTGGTCAAGGCCAGCTGTGTTAGTATCCTATTGCTGCAGTAACAAATTACCAGAAAGTGGGGGGCTGAAAATGACACAACTATATTATCTTTTGGTTCTGCAGGTAAGAAGTCTAAAATGGGTTGGTGGAACTGCGTTCCTTCTGAATGAGCTTCTGGGTAGAATCCTTGTCCTCTTCTTTCCCAGCCCTTAGAGGCTACCTCCATTCTTCCTCTCACGGCTTCTTCCTCCATCTTCAAATCCAGCAATGTGACCTCCTTAAATCTCCATCTCTCTCTGACCTGTGCTTCCTTCTTCACATTCCTTCTCTGACACTGACTCTCCTGCCTCCCTCCTTCCCTTTTAAGGTCCCCTGTGATTCCACTGGGTCAACCCAGATCATCCAAGACAATCTCATCTGCAAAGTCCCTTTTGCCCTATAAAGTAATATCTTCACAGGTTCTAGGGATCGGGGCATCTTGTTGGGGGCTGGAGGAAGCATTAATTTGCCAATACTAGTTTTTATCTCTATGCTGTGATCCCTCCTCAGGCTCCTGAACCTCTAGAATCTAATCTGACAAGTTCAGCTGCTGTGATGGGCCAGGAGTTCCTCTTTCCTTCCTCCAGAGAAAACACTAGGGTTTCTGGAGGCAATGATCCTATCTTGGCTCTGTGGTACAAAGTGTGACCTGAATCACTGGGCTGTTTAGATTCCAGAAACCATGGCCAAACCTTAGGAGGTGGGTCTCTCTCCCTGGGCTGGTAGAGATTTCTGTGCCTCACAGGTTTTATGCCAGGTATTTGGCCATCATTTGTATTGGATATGCCTAAGCCTTGCCTTAGAGCAGGAAATGGCCTTATTGACCATCTAGTCTAAGATCTTACCTAACAGATGAGGAACTCAAGACCCAGAGAGGTAAAGTGATGCTCCTAATGGCAGAGCTGGGACCAGAGCCAGGCCTCTGCTCCCCCAGCCAGTCCT
The DNA here is from genome assembly GCF_000001405.40 of Homo sapiens. Classification (NCBI taxonomy): domain Eukaryota; kingdom Metazoa; phylum Chordata; class Mammalia; order Primates; family Hominidae; genus Homo; species Homo sapiens. Next base: position 29,686,640 of record NC_000002.12, read on the forward strand.
TCTTTCCTTGCTCCACATGCCTATCTCCCTATCTCCCTGTGGGCAGACCCATGAGGTTCAGTTAGGAGGGGTTCCTTGTTCACTGGACATCTATAATCCATCCCAACACCCCAGGAAAGGCCTGTCCTGATGGGGAGGTGAACAATACTTCCCTGGAAGGTCCACCCCTGAGGCAAGCATGCCACTCATTAAGGCAACCCTTCTCAGGAGTCCAAGCTCCAGCTGCTAGTTGTATCAGAATCACATTAGATGGAAAGAATCACACATCACAACTTGTTGATGTGATTGCTCAAGGGTCCAGATCTAAGGGCCAGGGACTGTATTGCTTGAGAGACGAGTGACGTGTTTCTACAAACAGAACCAGAGAACTAATGTGGGCTTTCCTGGTGAATTCCAAAAGACGGGCAGAGATAGAAGGCCACACATCCACCCAGTGACCTTAGTATGATGAGAAATCATGCTCAAATGAAAAGCATAAGCACCCAGAGCCCTCTTGGTAAGTCTGCAGGGGCAAAAATTGAACTGAAGTGGGTGTGTTTCTGTACTCTTACTTAGATGCTGGGATTGGCCCCTGGGTATATTCCTGAGCCTGCTGCACACTTATTTTCCACATTTCCCTCTTCCTACCCTTCAAGGATAAGCCAAGCAGAAAGAGGTAGGGGGTGGGGTGCTCTGGACTTGGGAGCCCATGCCAGCTGCCAATGTGCTGTCCCTAGGCAGGCAGGCAGGAAAATAACCTGCTTGTCTGTCTGCTTGCCTACTGCATCCTAGCCAGGATTTTTGGCTAGGCTTTTTTGACTGTGGTTGTGGCACAAAATAGTTAACGTTTTTCCCCCAAAGTCTAAGATAACTCAATAGAATAGTCTCGAATGATAATTTTTTATTCCTTTGTATTAAAAAAAAAGGATAGCATGTTTTATCTTATTATAAAAAATAATATATGACAATGAACTCAAATTTGGAAAATAGCAAAAGCAACAGAAGGAAATGAAAATCACTAATAATTAATTTACCTAGAAATAACTTCTGCTACTGTGTTGGTATATTTCCTTACAGACTTTATCCTTATGTACATAGTTCTTTTTTTCTTTTACAAACAATTTCTACTACACACATTCTTTAACTTGCTTTTTGAAACCTAATAATAAGTTCCAAATATTTCCCCATATTATTCAATATTTTTACAATGTATATGTGTAATTGTGGTATAATATTTTAGGTATACTATATTTTATTTAACTAATTCCTTATTTTAGGCATTTAAGTTATTTCTAGTTTTTCACCATCATAAACAGCACCAAGATAGTTTTTTAGATAAGCCAGTAGGAAATATTGGTTGCAGCCTGCATCTTAGGTATGTCAGTTGAAATGGAAACAAGAATTTCTATAAAGATATATCTCGACTTTGGAGAGTTAGTGTTGTCAGTAGCATTCAACCAAGAAGTTCTTTCTTTCCTCTCCAAGTGATGTAGATTCTAAGAAAAGAGGATAAAGGTCTTTGAAACTTAAGAGGGAACACAGGGGCTAGAGCTGTCCGTGAGGCCTTACTGGTGAAGGAGTCCCTGGCCAGCACAGCCCATGCAATGGGAAGAGAGTGGACCAGGAGAACACTGCCCCAAAAATGCTCCTTAAAGGACTGGAAAAGGGACAGAGACATCAGGAACGTTGGGGCCAGGGTAAGATGACTTAGCAAACAAGGAAGTCTGATTCCATTTATAGAGGACAGATGTGTGGCTATATTTATTTTATCTAAAAGAGAAAAGAAAACCTTTGCTAATAAATAGTATTATACAGTTAGGCACACAAAAGTGCATATAATTGATGAATATAACATGGTAGGAGTACATGCTCAAAAATATTTTACCAATGGGGCATACAACAGAATAAAGTTTAGAAACCATTAACTTAAAGTAGAAACTTGGCCATGAACAGAGCAGCACAGGAAGGGAGCTCTGGGGAGCTGCAGCCTGTGAATACCTGGCAAGGGTAGTCCCAGTTTAGATCATCCGGTTTGAAACAAGTGAAAAGAAAGGAATATTGTTCTGCCCATGAGTGTGTGTCTGTGTCTGTGTGTGTGATCAGCGGTCACTCCAATTACATTTTTCTTCTATTCCAGTTTTCTTACCTCTCCTGACTGTTTCCCCAACTTCAACATTTTTCTAAAATAAGAGGTTTGCTAAAGGTTGTTCCTACAGACAAACTGAAGTGTGTAATTATTGACTCCCATTAACGAGATGAACTTCAGGGTGGCCACTGAACCCTGTGGGCCATAAATGCCGGACTTGAAGCCTGCACTAGCACATTTCACTCTGCAGTGGTGCAGAGCAGGGACAATGGCAGCACTTTTGGGAGAAAGATCAGTGATTCTCCAGCTCTGAAGGTCGTCCGTCTCCATCTTACTGACAGCCTGTCCTCATCTATGAGGACACCTCCTACCCTTCCTCACCTAGGGAACTTGCTCTCCAGAAACAGTGGCAAACCCATACACATGTAGGTGTCAGAGGTCCCCATCAATCAGCAAATGAAGCCTGAACTCAGAAATGGGTGGCTAATGATGAGTTTCACTGATGAAGGAGGAAATGCTGGGCAGCCCTTTATCATTCCATAGCCTATCAATACCTCAAAAGATCAAGAGTCAGAGGTGAGACTCAGAGTCAGCTCAGCCACTTATTTGCAGCCTGCAGTGACTGTGGGTGCAAAGGAGGCTATATCCTGAGAGAATTTTCCCGCAAAGTCTGCACTTGCAGTTCAAAAGGTGACTCAGGTCCCTGCTACTCCTGGGATACAGTTCACTTGAGAGGTGTTCAGGGACCCTTTTAAGAACATGGCAAACTTTTGGGGTAGGGGAAGAAATTGAAGAAAGGATGAGAAATGCTGGTATGAATCTGGTCTCCTCTGAACCTGTCTAATCAGACTTCCTGAAGGGTCTAAGAATTCACAGTCCACAGATGCATGGGATCCACATGCCAACCCAGACGCAGGGGGAGAAAAACCAAGGCATAGTGGGCTAAAGAGTGGCCCCCAGGGCATATGTCCAAATCCTAACCCCTGTGTACCTGTGAAGATGAACTTAATTGAAAATAGAGTATTTGCAGATGTTATCAAGCATTCCAGAATGAGATCATGCTGGACTTAAGGTGGGCCTTCAATCCGATAACACATGTCCCGTTAAGATACAGATTTCAGACAAGGACACAGGAGGTATGCCATGTGATGACAGAGGAAGAGTTTGGAGTGAGACATCTACAAGCTAAGGAATGCCAAGGATTCCCGGCAATGCCAGAAGCTGGAGTGGGGCATGGAAAGGATTTCTCTTCAGAGCCTCCGGGAGGTACTAACCCTGCAGACATCTTGATTTCATACTCTTGGCTTCTAGAATGAGGAGAGAATGAATTTCTGTTGTTTAAGCCATCCGGTTTGTAAGAATTTGTTAAAACAGCCACAGGAAACTAATACACAAGGGTACAACAGGAGTGCATCAAAAATTTGAATGACCCCATTCTGCTGTTGCAATACCCTAGTCATGTGTGAAAGCATCCTTAGCCACTCCAGGGCTCCAGGATGGTGTTTCACCATCTTTTGAAAATGAAGCCATCTTGATGAACAGAAGAACCTCAGTAGCAGTGCTGCATCCAGACCCTCCACCAAAAGCACAACAAAACAAAGCAAAAACCTGAGAGTCAGAGGACGGGGAGAGAGTTGAGCTGTTCCAGGAAGAATAGGAGCCTCCTCACTGTGGAGTCTGCTTCCATCTTTTCTGCGTGTGCCCATGAGTGAGGCCCTGGGGAGAGGGCTCTGCAGATGGGCTGAGAGTGTGTTTTCCATTTTTAAGCCAGGATTCATGCTACAGAGTAAAATCTTGCCTTACTGGAGAAGAAAAATACCTTTGACTATATTCCAAAACACCGGAAGCAGTTAGACATCAACATGGCCCCTGGCACTTCTTAAAAAGTCACAGAATGCCTCCATCTGATGGTTCTTCAAGATTTTAGTAATTTATAATATTATGTTCCATCAAAATGATCACTTTTTATTATCTTGCTGCTCTGAATTGTATCTTCCTTATTATTCTCAGCTACAGAGGCCATAAATTAAAACCATTCAGGATTTATACACTTATAGTTCATTATCTTTGATTGGTATCATCTTGCTGCCTTTTTCTGGTCCTTCTATAACTGACAAGAAATATTGCAATAGCATCTAAATACTATCTGACCCATGAATATTGAGTTAGAAAACAAACTAGTGACTACATAATACTAAAGGCAACCCATCCCCACTTCTCATCTTCACCACCAGCACCCTTTCTGCCAAAATGACCAAGAAACTGAGACTCTAAAGCTCTGGGATTAGGATTGGAATATAGGACACTGCTTGGCCATTGTGCAGAATGGACAGGTTGTTTTCTCTTCCTGAACCTTCACTTCTTTCCCTGAAGGTCAAGGGAGTTTATTACAATAGGCTGCTTCATGAGGAACAACGCTACTTCAGGGAAAGGTAGTGTTATAAATAACTGACTACAAAAGTGATGAGAGACGCACTCCTGAAAGCTCCAAACACCTCTCAGTGCCATTACTGAAGCAGTGGATTTTCTGGGAGGGCTGGGAGGCTGACCTCCTCATTTCCGTGACTGATCCATGCTGTGTGAGTACAGACCACTCCATTAGACCCCAGACAAATTAGCAGAAGTTTCTGACAGTGGTGAGCCTCTCTTAAGTTATGTTTGGATGTGTCCATTCATGAAAGAGCTTGGTAAAGGAGACTGGTGTATCCACAGCAGCTTTTGCTATGGTTGTTCACACCACCATCCTTAGTATTGCTAACTACTACCTGATGCTAACAGTGATGACTTTTCAGAGCAATGGAAGTTGACAACATTTACTTTAAAAAAAACAGATATTCCAATCCTGATTCATCTAATGGGAAAGTTTCACATTCAGTGTGTGCACTGACCCTTGGGATCCAGCTTCATAAAAACTAAAGGCATTGATATGTTTCCATGCTAAAGAATGCTGAGAAGTAAAAATTTATTTATTTTCTTCCTTCCCTCCTCTCCCCCCCTTCTTTTTTGTTTTGTCATAGCACTCAGTGTATTGTGCGCATGTCAGCGATCACAGGTGGAGGAGGAGAAACAGGTCACCAAGTGAAATGTACAATTTATTGGCACTGTTTAAAAACATTTCTTTAAAGCACAAACTTTCAAAGTTATCATGTGTGACTCAGTAACATCTGTGGAATTTACAAAGAACACAATTTCCACTTGTCCCTGTCTCTTGATCTCACTGAACTGTAATCACAGTTCCACTCCTGGAATATAAATTTTTAAAAAACCTGTAACGACCAAAAAAAATGTTTCTAGAGGTCAAGTGTTGGAATCTGGAGATAGTCCTAGGGGTGGCTGAATGGGAGTAAGTCTGAATGGGAGTAAGTCAACAGTATTACAAGCCCAGCTATGCCTCAGAATCATCCAAGAAACTTATGAAAAATGAAATAAAACAGATTTCTATGAAAATTGAAGCTGCAATGGGATGCTGTATTTAATTCACCAGACAGACAAAAAAATACAGCCTGACAATAGCAATACTGATGAGGATGTAAAGCCATGGGGAGGAATACCAATATATTACTAGAGGGAGTACAAATTGGTGTAACCACTTTGGAAAATAGATTGGCATTACCCAATGAAATGGAAGATGTTCTGACCCTCTCACCCAGCAATTCCACTCTTAGTTACATGCTCTAGAGCAATGGTCCCCAACCTTTTTGGCATCAAGGACTAGTTTCTTGGAAGACAATTTTTCCACGGATGGTTTTGGGATGAAACTGTTCCACCTCAGATCATCAGGCATTAGATTCTCATAAGAAGTACTCAACCTAGAACCCTTGCATGCACAGTCTGTGTGTGTGCACAGTGCACAATACGATTCACGTTTTTATAATCACAATAGGATTCATGTTCCTATAAGAATCTAATGCGGCAGCTGATCTGACAGGAGGCGGAGCTCAGGCAGTAATGCTGGCTTGCTTGCTACTCACCTCCAGCTATGCATCCCATCCTAACAGGCCATGGACAGGTACCAGTCTTCAGCCTGGGTGTTAGGGATCCCTGTTCTAGAGAAATTCTTGAACATGTGCACCAAGAGAGATGTACAAAAATGTTTACAATTGTGTTGATGGCAATAGCAAGAACCTGGAAATAATTCAAATGTTCAATGACGGTAGAAGAGATCAATTGTGATATTTTTATGCAAAGGATTAATATAGTACCAAAAGCAAATGAATCACAGCCACATGTATCAAAGTGAACAGATCAAAAACAATTTAATCCCATTTATATACAAGGGTGAAAACATGCAAACCTAGTCAATATGTTGTTTGGAGCTGTATACATAGGTGGTATAGCCATGAAGAAGAGCAAATAAGTGATTCACACAAAATATAGGAGAGTGGTTACCTTGGAGGGTGGGGAAAAGTTTGTGATCTAGGTGGGATACAGGAAACTCCAAAAAGACTGATAATGTTCAGATTCTTCGGCTTTTTGGTGGTGAGAATGCAAGTGTTGTTGGTTTTGCTGTAATCTCTAATCTATGCATGTATATTATATCCACTTTTTGCTAAATTTCCTAGTAGAAATGTAAAATACACAGACACGTAGTCTCCATCTCAGATCTATTGAATCAGAATCTCAGGTTATAGGATCTAGGCAGTCTTTTCTATAAGATATCCAGAAGAATTCTGATGCACTGTCAGGTTAAGAGCACTCACCTACACACACACACACACACACACACACACACAGACACACACACACACACCCTACAATACCTATCACCATCCAGATAAAAGCAGCTTAAAATATAAGTCAAGGTCAACCCATCCCAAAACAGTTATAAAAACAAAAAGTCAGCCCAGGAAAGTGTATAGAAAGGAAAGTCTCTTTTGGTTCTTTGATGACAAGGTAGAGGCTGAGGTATAAGCCTGAGAGCATTAATTGTTTTTGTGCCACCTCCAATCTCCCTCATCAGCTTACCCAAGACCTGACCTGTTAGGCTCCCTAGTAGCATAAGCCTGAGATGAGATTCTCTCGAGAATCTGGCCACAGAGCAGGCTCTGGTCCTGGTCTTTCTACAAAGACAGAAGCATGATGTGGTGGAAAGTGCCCTTGTCTGGGACTCATCACAGCAAGTATTTAGACCCAGACCCACATGTACATTCTGTGTGATCTTGGGGCAGTCACTCCCCCGCTCTGAGCACTAGTTTTCTTATCTGCCCTGCCTCTCTCATTGAAATCCAATGAGACAGCGTAGGTGGGAGTGCTTTGCAAACTGAAAAAACTACCCTGAATGTCTAATAAGCCCATTGCCACTTCAGTTATTCCTTCTTCCAAAAAGCCAGGAACATAGGCTTTCAATTCTGAGTTAGTAGAGTTTTCTAGGTCCAAGACATTGGGAGTCCCAAGATTTGGCTTGGTGAGACATAAAACTAGACTAGAGCTTAGTGCCTTCATGTCTCTGTCTAAGAAACTCAGCACAATTTAACAATTTAACAGTTGCCCACTACTTTCCTCTGAGCCTACCTTTCCTAGGCCCTGATAATAAAGAAGGGGACATTCACAAACAGCTCAAGACCACAGGAAGCATCACACCAAGCAAATGTGTCGCCTGAGTATTTATGAACGGCTTAGAAACATTTAAGCCAGTTCTACAATACCTTCCAAATTAGGATTGCCAGATCTGGCAGTAAAAATAAACATGCAGGACACTCAATTACATTTGAATTGTTTTGTAAAATTGGAGTAGTTCTTAGTTTAAGTGTGTTCCAACTATTGCATGAGACACACTTGTACTAAAAAATCATTTGCTGTTCATCTGAAATTCAAATTTAATGAGGTATCTTGTATTTTATCTGGCAATCCCATTTCAAATACCGATCAGCACTTTCTCCTGCAGGGAAATCTGCATGGAAGAGAGTTATGAAACCCTACTTTTATTACTTGTTAAAGAATAAAGGTTTGGGCTGATCTTGAGATGGGACTTGTCTTCCTCCCCTCCTTGCATGGCCCAAGAAGCCATGGAAAGTCACAGATATTAAAAGCAGGTTTCAAAGTAAACAGAGCAGAACAGGAGTGAAGTCTCATCATTTCAAACAGAAATAGGTATTCCAGCCTGGCCCTGACCCACCCAGGACATCACCAGCAGCCTCTCCCTTACCTCTGGGCATCTCCTTAGAACGCTCTGCCCCAGGCCCATCCAGCAAGTCCATCTGGGAGGCCTCCTCGGAGGGGATGCGGCGCCAGGACCAGCTCTGGTTCCTGAGGTCATGCAGTGGAGGGGAATACTCCAGCTCACAGGGGAAGTCAAAGCTGCACTCCAGACCTGCAATAATAGCCAAGGGTCAATGGAAAAAACCATTTCCCAAACGTGACTTTTCAGCCCCCTCCACTCCACACTAGGAGGTTGGCCTTCATCTCCCCACATCCTTTGCCCTGTCCAAGGGAGATCAGTTGTCAATACCACAGGGCTCTGTATTGGTGAAAAGGGACCTAAGAGAATAAAATGTGCTCTTTCTGTAACTCATATTACGGGAGATGTTCTCAGAGAAGGCAGGTAAAAAACAAAGCTAACTAACAGGTTGAATGGTGAGAAGCTCTGCATCTTGTGAAGTTACCTGAAGACATAGAGAGGGCCTGAGGGTGAGTGGGCAGAGCCTTCCCAAGAAACCCATGAGGGCTGAGTCCAAGTCTGGCTCTGCTTTTACCAGCCCGGTGACTCCAAGCAAGAAAACTCACCTCTCTGACCCTTAATTCCCTCACCTGTACATTAGGCTGATAATTACCACTCAAGTTTGCCGTAAGAACTGGTGGTAAAACATACTGCCTAAGAACATGTAATGTATGTGCGGCTTACAACCTAGATGATGGGTCAGAGTGAACAGGCAACCTACAGAATGGGAGAAAAATTTTGCAATCTATCCACCTGACAAAGGGCTAATAACTAGAATCTACAAAGAGCTTAAACAAATTTACCAGAAAAAAAACAAACAACCCCATCAAAAAGTGGGCAAAGGATATGAACAGACATTTCTCAAAAGAAGACAGTTATGTGGCCAACAAACATATGAAAAAAAGCTCATCATTACTGGTCATTAGAGAAATGCAAATCAAAACCACAATGAGATACCATCTCACACCAGTTAGAATGGCGATCATTAAAAAGGAAACAGATGCTGGAGAGGATGTGGAGAAATAGAAATAGAAATGCTTTTACACTGTTGGTGGGAGTGTAAATTAGTTCAACCATTGTGGAAGACAGGGTGGCGATTCCTCAAGGATCTAGAACCAGAAATACCATTTGACCCAGCAATCCCCAGCAATCACCAGCAATCCCATTACTGGGTACATACCCAAAGGTTTATAAATTATTCTACTATAAACAGACATGCCTACATATGTTTACTGAGGCACTGTTCACGATAGCAAAGACTTGGAACCAACCCAAATGCCCATCAATGATAGACTGGATAAAGAAAATGTGGCACATGTACACCATGGAATATTATGCAGCCTTAAAAACGGATGAGTTCATGTCTTTTGCACGGACATAGATGAAGCTGGAAACCATCATTCTCAGCAAACTAACACAGGAACAGAAAACCAAATACGGCATGTTCTCACTCATAAGTGGGAGTTGAACAATGAGAACACATGGACACAGGGAGAGAAACATTACACACCAGGGCCTGTCGAGGGGTGGGGGACTAGGGAAAGAATAGCATTAGGAGAAATACATAATGTAGATGAAGGCTTGATGGGTGCAGCAAACCACCATGGCACGTGTATACCTATGTAACAAACCTGCATGTTCGCACATGTATCCAAGAACTTAAAGGATTAAAAAAAAAAAAAAAAAAAAAAAGAATTCCAGATGGCCTAGGAACTTCAGCATGCTTTGCAGAGGAGGATAAGGCCTGCACAAAACCAGAGCAAACCAGAACCAGTGGCCCCTGTCACCTTTAGATCATTAGCGTATCATTATAATGCAAAAGTCCCCACCCATAGAAGAGAATCACTGCCACTTTCTGCACACGTGTCGTATGAAGAGCATGTTCCTGATCTGCACCTGCGTGTCTGAAGTTCTTCCCAACACAAGCTTACATAGCCCCTGACCCACGTCTAACCCTGTAACATTCCCCAGCTTCCCACTGCTCTGGGAGAAGCTGTCTTTAGAGCAAGTGCTCTCTCCTTCTCCATGCCTGGCCAGAAATAAAACCTGCTTGCCCTTTTCCCTAAAAAAAAAAATAAAATAAAATAAATAAAAACAATAAAAAACCCTAGGTGATGGGTTGATAGGTGCAGCAAACCACCATGGCACACATATATCTATGTAACAAATCCATATGTTCTGCGCTTGTATCCCAGAACTTAAAGTAAAATAAAAAATAAAATAATAAATAATAAAAAAGTACTGCCTATGAAAAATGGACCTGGTCCATATTTGATGCTCTGAAAAATGCTAGCCAGGCCCTGTCCTTTCTGATTGATAAGGGAAAGGCCATAGGTAACTGGAATTTCCTCACAGCCTGCTTTGCCAGCCCTATAATCTACCCTTCGATCTCCTCTCCAGAGAAGAGGGCCAAGGCTATGACAATGAGTCAGGGTTTATTTTCTCTTGGGGAGTGTTTGGGGAGGGTCATTGGGTAAGGAGAGAGAGAAAAGAGAGGCAGGAAGGGCCCATGCCCTGGGATGTTTTGTACTTTGTTGAGCTTCCCTGGGCAGACTCTTTCTGTCCAATGATTCCACGTTTGCCCCACTTTTAGGGTACATGGGCCACTCAGCTTTTCTTCCCCTTCCTTGCTCATTGTCCACTCCCCAAAGTGGCTGAAGAACTTTGCCATGGCGGGCTCTCAAAGCTGGCTTATGGATTAACAGAAGATGCCAAGATGCAAAATGTTCAACCACCTCTTACTTCATCCTCTCCCCGAAGCCGTGGGAATAAGAAAAAATGGGATAATGTGATAGATATTGGACAGACAATATGAGGAATTCAGTTTGAGTCCAGGCATGACTAGTTACCTCTCATGTGTGAACTTTGGTTTTCTCACCAAAAGAAACCAAAAGCTGTTAAAGCAGTGCATTTTAACAGCTGCTTCTGAGGCTACTACTACCCCAATCTCCAAGACAATTCTGGTGTTGGAAATTTCAGAATACAGTGGGGGCAGATTCTAAGGCAGGCAGCCGGCCACTGGATTGTCTCCCAATGGGTGTCCACACCCATAGACAGCTGGCCCTGCTGCAGAGTGGGAGCAAAATATTCCTGTTAACACTAACCAAACTATTCAATTGTAGGAGAAAAGAAAAAAATCCTTCAATTACACTTCTATTGAGTGTCTTTCTGCTCCTCAGCTGCTTTCCAGGAGCTGCCATCCTTCTGGCCCTAAGGTTAATACTCCTTGCCCTTTCACGATTCAGACAACTTGCCTTCATAGTGGCAAGCTGAAATGGGTAGCTCTCACTTTGTTTGAGTTGATAAGCCACTTGCTCTACAGTTGGTGTCCAGGAACCACAGGCTGCCTTAATCTTCAAGATGTGCTTGAAGACACCTGGTTTTCAGAGCAGACTGCAAAGAGAAAACTGGTCCAACATTTTGTACTTTGCAACACCAAAGTGACATAGGAAGGATTAGCCATGAAACATGACTAATAAGGAGAGGCGTAGCCATGAAATGTAACTCCTCTAGGGAGGGTCAAAAAGACACATCCACATTGGTGGATGTTCATGTCAGTAAAAAGGTGAGAAAGCCACCAGCCACTCCCATCCCACATTGACAATTATCAGTGCCTTTCCCAAAGCTTCGACTTCTGCGGCCATCCCCTACCTTGATTTTTCTCTTCCAATGAAAGATGACCTGTTTCTATTCAAGACAGAGGTGAGGCATGCCAACTGTCTGAGTTGTGTCCTGCCTGGCAAATGTGCCCTACATGTGTATACAACAGACAGACAGTGCAATATACAATCCCAGCACCGAGCATATTAATTCTTGGATCTTTGAACTCTGGAGAGTTTAAGTGTGATAATTGGCTGTGTTTGGGCCAGATCCTGCCTAGTAAAACAGGCTATGCAAATGTACCGATTAAAATGCGTTCCTTCTGTAATTCTTAGTCCGCAGCAACCTCCTTTTAGCTGTTAAAGCTGTACTTTCTAGCTTTAAATAGGAATGGAGTTAATATTACTACTCATTTGGTTGAAACTGAATTAGGCTTTTCTACATTCTGATTTAATTTCTTACAAAACATGGAGACACAGGTTTTTCTCACTCAAACTAGCCTCAGTGCCTCTTGGGCAATAATACCTTGGGACTTGCCTAAAACACCAGGTTAAGTCTTATTTTCCTTGGGCCTCTTCCGAGGTTCTAGACCTAGTGTGCTTCTTGAATCTCTCTCCTTCACCCTCTTCCAACTCAGTGCCTATGAGGTAGAGACTGTAGAATCTATTTTACAGGAGGGATTCAGAGGGGTCTAGGGCTTCAGCACAGTGCTCAGCCTTAAGCAACCCAACCGCAGAGGCAGGTCCACACCCACCCAGGGGCAGGGGTGGGAAACTACCTTCCCTCAGCCCCTCCTGGCGGTCTTCCACGCACTGTCCTGGGTGTTTTCCTTCCATCACTGTACCTCATCTGCAGAACAACACTGAGAAGTGGACGGTTTCTTCTTCTCTCTATAGGTGAGGAAGCTGAGGCTTAAAAAGTTTTCTTGCCCCCAAATGAAAGGACTACCCCAAGGCAGACCCAGAGAGTGACCTAGAACTGGATAATGCAGAATATCCAGTGTTGTTCATCTCTCTCCTGCAGCTTCAGAATCTCAATTTAGGGCTGAAGATTAATTTACACAATAGATGAGAAACCAATGAAGTGTTTTATCTTGGTTACTCTTAGACCCAAAGCCTGTAAACTTTTCATATCTGAAAAGCCTTCTTCATGATAGGGGACAGATCTATATTTTCTAAATGTCAGGCCCATTTTGCAGAATGACTATGACCTTCAGGAGGATCCAGAGATCTTGACCTTTTTTTGTTTTAACCCAAGAGAATCTGACCATTGAAAAAGAGCATTGAGAAAAAGACACACTTTCCAGGACCTGCCTATCACATATGTGAAATCATTGTCACTTACTTTCTTGTTATTTCCATCATGGAAGAAAGGTAAGGTAATGGAACCTTCTGGAAAAGATCTGCCAGCTGAGAGGAGCGTCAAGTGCTATGAAGGGAAAGGGCTCTAGCAGAGCAGTGAGGATGGTTCTGGGCTTGGTCCTGCACAGAGCAGCTGAGACCCCAGCAGGTCTATTTCTGTCTCTAGGCCTGTTTCTTTGCATTTGGAAGATGAAAGAAATGGAGCATGTACCCTCCATGGTGCCATTCATCTCTGAAGGTCAGTGATTCTATAGGCTTACCCTGGGCCGACACAATCAAACCTACAGACCACTCAGCCTGCCTCTGCTCAGGAGATGCTGCCCCTAAACAAGGACTTGTTGTCATCCCAAGAGGCAGATTTCCTATGGAAGAAGGGTGAATGTACATCACACTCAATGGGGACTTGGTTTGCCTCCAGATTCTCAAAGAATTAAAAAGCTTGGCTGGGTGCAGTGACTCACGCCTGTAATCCCAGCACTTTGGGAGGCCCGGTGGGTGGATCACCTGAGGTCGGGAGTTGGAGATCAGCCTGACCAAAATGGAGAAACCCTGTCTCTACTAAAAATACAAAATTAGCCAGGTGTGGTGGTGCATGCCTGTAATCCCAGCTACTTGGGAGGCTGAGGCAGGAGAATGGCTTGAACCCGGGAGGCGGAGGGTGCGGTGAGCCGAGACCCCACCATTGCACTCCAGCCTGGGCAACAAGAGAGAAACTCCATCTCAAAAACACAAAAAGGAAAGCTTATGTGAGTTTTGCACATAATAGTTGCAGGATGAACGAGTGAGTGTGTGTGCACACACCTGCATGTGTGTGTGTGTGTTCATGCATTTTTATCATCTGATACTCACTTCCTGAAATCTCCCAGTATATGAATCACATTTTTAAAGACTGAATTCATTAACAATTAGCTTCTAGACATTGTTTTAGTATGAAGCACAGCCATTCAGGAAAATGTTGTGGTAAGTATCAGAAAACCACGGTGGTGACCCTGCCCAAAGACATACCCAGTCTCCCTTATCAAAACCCCCTGGCTGTAGAAGAGTTGTCAATGACAAACCACCTTGAACACTCTGAACCTGAGGGTGGAAATATAGCCTCTAGGAATGTGTGAGACTCCCAAAGCAGTCAGGCCCAAGGCCTGTGCCTAGGAAGCCCAGCATTGGTTACTCAGGCAGAGATGGAGGCCTTCCAACCGGGGCCATGTACCAGGCCGAGACACTCAAGGAGATTGCATGTAGGTTCCAGCTATTCTCCATAACACCACAAAAGGGGAATAGGGAGCTTGGTGCATTTTGGACACTTGGGTCTCCTCTTGAGTGGGCTCAGAATATCTAACAATGCTCCTTTGTATCCAGACTGACCTCAGATTTCCCCAGAATCCCTTGGATCAAGGCCCTTTATGCCTCCTTAACCTTGAGCCTGTTAACCCAGAGACTAGTTTCCTAAATCCTACTAGTTTTCTAAATCACCTTGGGTCAGTTTCAAGGTAGAGGACCAGCAGCTCCCCTTAGTTTTAAAGACATCCCCTCCAACATTGCCCAGTTTCCAGGTGAATGTAGGGTGGCAGGGCCTTAAAGGGCAGCCCCCTGGGGCAGGTCCACATCAGCCCCTTGGATGAGGCCTTGCAGCCTCAGGCCACCGTGAGCTTTGGAAGCAAATACTGCAGAATGAAAGGAAGAGTCATAAAAAAGAGAAGAATGCCATGCCCATCAATTCCATAACACTTCATCCTTCTTGATTTTGTCTCTTATTATGAAGTAAAGCTGGAGGTCTTACTTTCTTGTTCCTGGCAACGCATGCTGTAGTGTGTATAGAAGAGCCCTGACCCCCATGGAGAGGACTTCTGTGAAGGCGTGTGGGAAGTGTATTCATAAGTAATAACACTCGCCAAGGACTCACTGGGGCTGGTCACCATGCCAGGCACCTTACATGATCATCTTATTTAATCCCTATGAATTAGGCAGGATTCTTATCTCCATTCAACAGATGAAGGCATTGGAGCTCAGAGAAGTGAAGTCACATCTGATGTTACTCAGATAGGAAGGGGCTATGTGGTCTTTTACTGATGTGTTTCCTTCCTGTGAGTCCTGAGGCCCTGATTTCAGTAGGTCACAAATGGGATTGCCAATAGAAAAGGCAGCAGACATAGCTTCCCTCATGTAGAGCCACAGACATGGACATGTCTGTGGCTGCAGTGAGGCAGGAAACAGTGTACGAGCTCCACAAGTGAGGCAGAGCTGACAGCCACTGACTCTGAAAGTATCACCTAAAGGCAATGCCAACCTTACTGTGGTGCAACAAAATACTAAAGAAATGGTCATGGTCATGTGCCATCAACTCCTTCAAAATGACAATTGAAATACTATTTCTCAGGATGGACAGGAGGCTGTGCTGAAAAAAAAAGGCATGGTATGCAAATTCTGAATCAGCCAATGTGCTGATTTAGAATCTCGATATTCTAAATGGCCACACTTCATACTACAACAATGTACAAGCTCTACAAGTGAGGCAGGAAAGGACCTGGGCCCAGAGAGGGAAAGGCAGGGCAAAGCTGGGGGCAGGACAGGAGCCAGAGTGTCTTCGCTATCTTGAAGGTTCTGATATGACCTATAAAGTTGGGCCTGGGATGCCCTAGGTGAGGACTGAGTCAGAGGACACATCACCAAGATCTAAGTCTGAATCTCAGTGGGTGTACGGCTCAGGAAGCCAAAGCCACAAGTGCAATAAAGCCCAGGGCTTAAAGTTCCCTTCTAGGTTTCTTGATTGTATTAGTCTGTTCTCATGCTGCTAATAAAGACATACCAAGACTGGGTAATTTATAAAGAAAAAGAGGCTTAATGGACTTAAAGTTCCACATGGCTGGGGAAGCCTCACAATCATGGCAGAAAGCGAAAGAGGAGAAATGCACATCTTACATGGCAGCAGGCAAGAGTGTGTGTGCAGGGGAACTGTCCTTTATAAAACCATCAGATCTCCTGAGATTTACTATCATGAGAACAGCACAGGAAAAAGCTGCCCCCACGATTCAATTACGTCCCACTGGGTCTGTCCCATGACATGTAGGGATTATGGGAGCTACAATTCAAGATGTGATTTGTGTGGGAACACAGCCAAGCCATATCACTGATGTCTTCCAGAATATGTGCTGTGTTTCTTGGGTCTGATTGGGATCCCAGTTTAGAAAACTGAGGGTGGGTGGGCAAAGTTTCTGTGGCCATCAGGATGTATCTGTTTTCAGAAGGGGCCTATAAGAATTCATTTAACTGAATACTTGGTCAATGGGATCTGCATCTGAAAACAGAATTATCGGGCTTGCCACTCACTTAAAATATGACAATATGATTGTGATTTTGTATTGGGGTTATTTTCCTGCTAAAAATGCTTTTCTGTCTCCAGTTATCTTGACTTGATGTCTAACTACTGGGATACAGAGCCTGACGCTGGGCCTGACTGTCCTCACTTGTTGAATGGTGATGTCTGTGATACCAATCAGTCGTACAATCTTTTCCCATATGTCTATGGCCATATGTCTTATTCATCAAGTGACCTTAATATTGTCATGAATGATTCACAGGAATAGAGCACAAGACTTGAGATTTGACTCTAATTCTGCCATTTGTCAGCTCTGTGATATGGGACACTGCTTTGTGCTAAGCCTCAGTCAGGTCATCTCAGTGAGAAGCCTCATTTCCCAGAACTGCTGAAAGGGCTTAAGATGATGAGGCATGTGCTTAGAATGGAGAAATTCCCAAAGCACATTGGCTGATTCCGAATTTGCATAACCATGCCTTTTGTGAACACAGCTTCCTGTTCATCCTGAGAAATAGTATTCCAATTGTCAATCTGAAGGAGGTGATGGCACATGACCATGACCATTTCTTTAGGATTTTGTTGTACCAAAGTAAGGTTGGCATTGCCTTTAGGTGACATTTGCAGTCAGAGGCTGTTAGAACTTTAAGAAACATTTGAGGTCAACCATTTCTTCACTGGAGAAGTGAAAAAAAGCAAGACCCAGGCAAGGGAAAATACTGACTTAGGGCCACGCCACTGATTAATGAGTCCTTCACATACAGTGTGGAGGGCATTTCTCCTGGTTGCAGAAGTCTTTCTGAATGTCACCTCTTCAGGGAACACCAGACGGGAGCTGGTCAGACGTACTGAACCACCAGCTGTCATGCATCCTCAGGCTTCACTTACTGGCCCCTCCAGCTGAGACTGGTTTTCTTAATGGCATAGGAAAATGCCAATGTATTCCTGACAAGCCTGGTTAAGTGTCTTCAATAAAGAACCATATGAAACATCATGCATACACGGCAATTCTCTTACAGCTGGCCTTTAGAGAGATCTACACGTAAAGCTACATTTCATTAAATGGAACCCCAGAAATTAGCATTCTTAAAACACTGTCAGTCCTTAAAGATTGTACCCAGCTCAAGGGAACTCTCTCAGTGGCCACTAATCTTGAGGCACAGGGAGGATCCTCTTTGCTCGAGGGATTCATCAGAATGTCCCAAATGTAGGCCTTCAGAGTCATGAGGGACCTTGGAGACCTCTGAGAGGAAGGGAAAGGCTGGAGAATGATGGGGATCATCAAAGAATGCACAGTGGCTGGTTGCAAGGCTGGTACTAAAATTCTGTTTCTAATCCTGTGATTGTTATTATTATAATTATTCAAAGCTGTGTATAACAAAAAACAATATCTTAAACAAGTAGAAAAATTCTGAAAAATCCTATTTTTTTCTTGAATAAATTGGCAAAAACATATATGGCTACGTTTCAAATATCTCCCAATGATCAGATGGCTCAACTCACCTCCAATAAAGCTTTTTGGGTTGTCTCCTCCTGCATGTATTCTTCTGCCAACAAACTGCTTTTTGATGGTTGCTGGAAGCTCCCTGCTGGTGAGCAGGTCTGTTCTCAGGCCAGGAGCCACAGTGAGAACAGGGTGGGGGAAAGCATGGGGCCAGAAGCAAAGGGGAAAGTTCACTAGAGAATTCTTAGGAAGCCTCCCAGCTCCAGGCGCATCAGCCTTGTGCTTGGGGCAATTCATTTAACCACTTGAGTCTTGGTTTTCTCATGGATAAACCAGGGAGAATTATCACACTAATGATTTTGATAAAAATAATATAAATACCTGTAATCCCAGCACTTTGGGAGGCCAAGGCGGATGGATCACTTGAGGTCAGGAGTTCGAGACCAGCCTAGCCAACATAGTGAAACCCCGTCTCTACTAAAAATACAAAAATTAGCCAAGCGTGGTGGCTGGTGCCTGTAATCCCAGCTGCTCGGGAGGCTGAGGCAGGAGAATCGCTTGAACTCGGGAGGCAGAGGTTGCAGTGAGCCGAGATTGTGCCACTACACTCCAGCCTGGGTGACAGAGTGAGACTCCATCTCAACAAAAAAAGAAAAGAAAAGAAATATATATATATATATATATATATATATATATATATATATAAATATATATCTGCTGTGATGATTGCATAAGGTAATGAATGTCGCCATGCTTTCAAAACCCTGAGATACCATATATTAATAGATGGATACTCTTACCACCTTGGCCCTGTGATGCAGACACAGCACTGTGTCTTCCTCTGCCTCAGATTTACCACCAGGAACCTGGGGATGAACTGACCTGACTTGACCTTGGAGGACCCAGGGAGAAGCAGGCTAGAACAGACATCCTTCTTTCCTTGCCCTATTTTATATCAACCTCTCAGGGGGCTGGGAGAGGCACCAGAGTGTCTGGGGAGGCATTGCAGGGAGTAACTGCAAGCACAGATCCTGCATGAGGTCAGGCTCCCAAGTTGGAAATTTGGCTGTGCCATTACTAGCTCCACATGTCAGAGAAAATTAATCCCTTTGTGCCTCAATTTTTTCAACTGAAAAATAAGAATTAAAGCAGGGACCACCTCCTGGAATTGTGAGGAGGGTGAAATGCAATAGTGTATGTTGAGTGCCCTGCATGGTGACTTGCACACAATTTGGCCTTATTTAATGATGCGCGTCATTGCTGTTACTCTTTAAGTGTCTCCAGGAGTCAGCAATGGCAGAGAGCACATAAGAGGGAGTATATCCAGCACAGCAGGAAGAAAACTTTGTTTCAAGCCCTGTTTCAGCTGGAAGCATAAAAGGAAAAGGGGTGGAGAAACGTGTGCTCCTCTCTCAATATTTCCTTTGCGATGGCTGATTGAGCTTGCCTTTGGAAGACCTCCAGCGAGATGATCTGGGTTCTAGCTCTGGCTCTGTGATATAACTTCACACAAGTCACTTAAGCTTTCCAGACCTCAGTGTCCTCATCTGTAAAATGGAGTGGGGGAATAAAATGATTCTCAGGTCTCTTCCATCTCTACCATGCTAAGAATAATTGCCCCTTTGGGCAGGTGGCCAAAATAAACTCTCTAACTTCACTCTAGCCAGCTGGTCAGCAGGAACCCAGGGGGCCTGACTTCCAGCCCAGGCTCCGATGATTAGGGACTGTGGCTCCCCCTTTCTGGATTATCTCCTTGGCTCACCAGTCACCTTTGTTATTAATCCACCAGCTGCCATCAACATCTGGTCACTTGCTTCATAACACTAAGTATCCAACCTGGCCCCTACCCCCTCTGCCCACAACCACTGTTCATTTGTCATAGAGCCCCAGAACTTGAAACCATTCACTTCCTTCCCACCAGCCTGCTCCCTGGAATGCATCTGGGAACCAATCACCCAATTCAAGACATCTGTTTAGCTCACTTATAATCAAGCTGAAGAGAAGAAGGGCCAAGTCTCCTTCCATCAATCAATTACATGAACACAGCCTCAGAGGGCAGTGTGTGTGCGCACGTGCACATGTGCACACTGCAGTGGGAGATACACACGGAAAGCTGAATTCTTATTTCTCTTATCTGTGACCATTACTATGTTACAGATAGAAAAACAGGACTCTGCTCTTAATCATAGAACAGAAAATTGAAAATAATTAATTCTGAGGTTAACTAGCTCAGCTTCTTCATTTTATAGATGGGAAAATTAAGGCTCAGAAGAGTGAAGGGACTTGGCCAAGGTGGCATGGCCTAGGGCTTGGAGCAGTAAGAGAGTTGAGACCAGAACCCAGATTGGACTTCCAGTTTAATTCTCTGCTTGCAATTTCCAGGAAACACTCATGCAGAATGTGTGTGTGTGTGTGTGTGTGTGTGTGTGTGTGTGTGTGTGTGTGTGTGTGTGTTGGGTAAGGAAGTCTCTAACAGAATGAAGCAGGCTCCAGAGGGCATGGTGAAATCCTTAGCAGTTGTATCACTGCTCAATATGACATCTGTCTAAATGGGTTTATTCCTGAAACCAGAAGGCTGGAGATGAACTCTGAGCAATGTGGCATCCATGACAACAGGAGAAGCCTGGTGGTTAAGGGAGACCCCAGAATATGCAGACGGACCTCCCCACTTACTCTTCTGTCTCTAAAGAGACAGGACCTACTGGGTGTTAATGTGAACATGGGGTTCCATTCCTCCCTGTTTTCAAACACAGGAAGGTACCAGACTGCCCGAGCACAGACCTTCTACCCTTCAGGGAAGGGTCCCAGTCCAGTTGGGGGATGAACTTGCCCATACCTAACTCTAAGAGGCCTCAGGGAAAACAGAACAAGGGAGGCTCTTTGCCTGGGAGGACCAAAGGTCCACAGAAAAAGCAACTGCTGGGCTGCATCTTGAAGGATGAAACAATTTGAACAGATAGTAAGGGTTTGGCTAGGAAGTTTGCTAAGAACAGAGGAGGAGATAAGGTTATTCTAGGCAGGTGAAGAACTGATATTGCTTAATTCAGTATAGTTGTATAAATTTTGAAGCTGAACTGCATGAATTAAATCCCAGCTCAAATACTAGTGTGATTAAAGGCAAAATGCTTTCAAGTTCCAGAGGGCAAAACTAGGGACTTAAAAGAGTTTTAAGCAAGAGGCTTAGAGCAAATGGAGCCATGCCACCAAAACCCACCTTTTGCTGTGCCCTGGGCACATTCAGATCTGTCGTCATGTCCTCATAATAATGCTGTCAGTTGGTAATCCTGATCACCTCCACTTTAAAGATGACATAGACAACCAAAAGGAGTAGGTAGTGGCTGAAGGTAATACAACTCACAAGAATCAGAGCTGGGAATTCATTCCACATCTCAGATTCCCAAGATGAGTTTTCCCCACTGTGGTTCCATGTGTTGCTTTCAGGCAGAGGCTGGAAGACCTTTTGTTGGGATGTTACAGAGGAGATTGACTGACTGATTGATTTAATTTTTGAGATAGAGTTTCGCTCTGTCACCCAGGCTGGAGTGCAATGGTGCAGTCTCAGCTCACGGCAACCTCCATCTCCTGGGTTCAAGCAATTATCCTGCCTCAGCCTCCCAAGTAGCTGGGATTACAGGTGCCTGCCACCATGCCCGGCTAATTTTTTGTAGTTTTAATAGAGATGGGGTTTCACCATCTTGGCCAGGCTGGTCTGGAACTCCTGATCTCAGGTAATCCACCCACCCTGGCCTCCCAAAGTGCTGGGATTACAGGCATTAATCACCGTGCCTGGCCCAGAGAAGATTTAAACAGGCAATGCAGAGGTGAGTTAAAGCCCTAGGATTACCAGACCTAGTTCTCTAGTCCAGTGAATACCCTCACCAGAATCCTGTTTTTAAGGTGCTCTCCAAGTGACTATGAGGCAACTAGACTGAGTGTGGCCATGTGTTCATCTACACCAGGAAGGCCCTGACCCCACACTGAGGCAATCTGTGGGGCAGCAAAACTCTGCTGGGCTGGAAACCCAAGGTATTCAAGGGATGAGTTGTGTAAAGCAACAGATGGGACTGAAATGTGAGAAAATACTTTGTGAGCCATCTTATTGAGAAGAAAATGAACCCTTGCCTCTATGGTAGAGAGGTTAGGTGTGGGCTCTGCCAAGCAGATGGCCTGGGTTTGAATCTCTGCTTTGCTGCTAGTCCTGGGGAGATCACTAACCTCTCTAGGCCTGTTTCCTCATCCTACAGATGTGGCTATTTGATCAGACCACAGAAGGCCCTGACAGCTCACAATTTCTATGAACTTCTCATAGACCAAATTATTCTAGTCATCTACCCAAATGGGCTGGTTCAAGTCCTGTGAATTGGAGGTCTCTTCTGACACAAAGTTTTGCACCTGAGGTTGCTCTCGACAAAACATTTTAAGAGGATTTTCTCTCATTTTTCTCACTCTTGATCAGTCCTTTTCCTGAACATGTTTTGGACACACGTCTTTCTAGGTTGGTTAGAAGTGCTCTGTATACAGTATCTCAGATGTCCCAAAGCTGTCAAAAGAGAAATTCCTCAGCTCACTCATGTCTGCTGAATATGCTTTTTTATGTTAAGAAAAGAAAAAAAGCAAGCCTGCTCAAAGTAGTTAAAATCACATCTTTGAATCCTCAACCAAATTAAGTCCAGCTCAGGAACTGGTCTCCCCCTCAGACACATTTCTTTCCTGAAACTGATTAATATGACTAGAAATGAGAGGGCTGGTGGGAATGTCCCTGCCCTTTAATAAAACAGAGAACTTTGGGGGCTGAAAGGCTGTAGGTTGGGAATTGGGAGACCTCAGTTTGCTCCTCATTTGTCCCTGAACTGCTGAGCAGACATTGCCATTACTTCTATTGAGTACACAATGAGTACACAACATGAGAGAAGTACTAGGTGTGCAAAAGGAAACAAGATGTGAATTCCTTGACGTTTAAATGCTTAACGTCTAGGAAGAGTGATAACGCAGGACCACAAATAACTAAGACACAAGGAAAAGTGTGACATCAGAGGCACCAAGTAGCGGGGAGACACATAAAAATTTTCTCCATGAGAATATGGGGATAAAGTGAGGTCCACCACCTCCCAGACTGTTCTAATTTGGGGTTATAGTGCGGTCACCAGCTGCTGGTTGTGAATACTTGCTATATGGTATCCAAAAGGAAGCTCTATTAAATCCAAGAGCCATGTCATGTCTGCTAAAAATGAGCAAACCTTCCTATTAGGTACTGATGGTTCATTAGACCCAGAGAGAGATTCTGTCTCCACAGAACTGATTGGAATGTTGGGGGTATCACACATGCATACAACATTCCTTCATCTAAAAATTCCTCACTTCCTTGGCTTTGCTGTTGATATGATTTGTCTGTGCCCCCACCCAAATCTCATCTTGAACTGTAGCTCTCATAATTCCCACGTACCATGGGAGGGACCCTGTGCAAGGTAATTGAATCATGGGGGCAGGTCTTCCGCATGTTGTTCTCATGATAGTGAATAGTCTCATGAGATCTGATAGTTTTATAATGTGGAGTTCCCCTGCACATGCTCTCTTTGCCTGCCACCATGTAAGATGTGGCAAGAGGTAAGCACATCTTACTTACCACAAAATGCTCCTCCTTGCCTTCTGCCACGATTGTGAGGTCTCTCAAGCCATGTGGAACTGTGAGTCAATTGAACCTCTTTCCTTTATAAATTACCCAGTCTCAGGTTTGTCTTTATTAGCAGCATGAGCACAGACTAACACAGGTGACTATACCATCTCCTGGTTCTCCTCCTGTCTCCCATTTCTTCATCTCTCTGTTTCATGCTCCTCTTCCTCTGCTTACCTCTCAAATGAAACATCCTGGATCTCCTCTGGGTCTTCAACCTCCAATCACCAGCTTCAACCTCAGTCTGTGTGCGTGTGTGTGTGTGTGTGTGTGTGTGTGTGTGTGTATGATGGAGTCTCGTTCTGTCACCCAGGCTGGAATACAGAGTCACACTCTCGCCTCACTGCAACCTCTGCCTCCCAGGTTCAAACGATTCTCCTACCTCAGACTTCCAAGTAGCTAAGGCTACAGGCACATGTGCACCCAGCTAATTTTTGTATTTTTAGTAGAGACAGGGTTTCACCATGTTAGCCAGGCTGGTCTTGAGCTCCTGACCTCAGGTGATCCACCTGCTTGGCCTTCCAAATTGCTGGGATTACAGGCGTGAGCAACTGTGCCTGGCCTCAACCTCAGTCTTGCTGCTAATAACTCTCCATCCACTTCTCTCCTCAAAGCCAAGACCTGGGTTTACAGCTCTCTACTGGCCATCTTCACCTGGCTGTCTTGAAGGCATTTCAAATGTAACTTGATTACGGTGGATCTCACCACATTTCCTCCTCCCTCTAGATGTCTTGGTCAACATCTTTCCTTGCCAAATGTTTCTCTTCTCTGTTCCAGTCAATGACATCTTCATCCACTCAATTACTCAAGGTGGATTCTCCTGAATAGGAAACCAAGTGGTGCTCACCTTATATCCAGAATCTCTTCCAGATTCTCCTCCTTCCCTTTCTTTTCCATCCTATGCCTCATATGTAGGACCATGCCCAACTCCTGAGCATTCTCAGAGTAACTGTCTCTCCAGCCTCACCCCAGGTCCTCTACAACCTTT
This sequence comes from Homo sapiens, assembly GCF_000001405.40. Classification (NCBI taxonomy): domain Eukaryota; kingdom Metazoa; phylum Chordata; class Mammalia; order Primates; family Hominidae; genus Homo; species Homo sapiens. Next base: position 29,711,236 of record NC_000002.12, read on the forward strand.
GCCACAGAGCTTGACCTGTTCCCAAACACCTTTGCACATGCATCCCTTTTGTCCAGAACACTCTTCTCCTGACTCTCTGTGTTCCCTAGAGTCCAAGGTCCAGTTCAGCTGCCGCAGTCTCCAAAACATCTCCCTTCTTGAGTCCTCTACAGACCTGGTCCTCCCTCCTCTGTGTTCCTGGGCCTCTGTTACTGCATTTGTCAAAGAGCAGGTATGCTTACCTCTTCCCCCAGAGCTCCTTGAGGGAAGCAAATGTGTCCTATTTGTCTTTATCACTGACATGTCTAGAGCACAACTAAGCATACACTCGGCACTCCACGACTGTTGACATCCCTTCTCCCATTCTCTGTGTTGGTGGAGACGTGCTAAGGGGGAAATGATGCAGGCAGGGTGGGGGTTGTGGGAGGGCCTCTGAAGGGGGAAGTCAAGACTGAAGCAAGCACTAAGGAGCCACCTGCCCAGGGGTGAGAGCTGAACCATGTCAACGGGAAAAAGAATAAATGAAAAGGCAGTCAGAGAGCCAAGGGCGACCCCTACTTTTGTGTCTTTCTCTCTCTTTCCCTGTGTGTCTCTCTCTGTCTCTGTCCCCTTCCCCTCATCATCTGTTTCCCTTTGTCAGTGTCTGTCCCACTTTGTGAAAAGTGTTTTGAATGGATCTTTTCTGACTTGTTTTTCTCACCTTTGTGTCACATGGTCATTCATTCTCTTATTATATTTTATTCTGACGTTTTTTCTTTCTGCATTTCCTTACTCAACTTGCCACCAACATAGAGATAAATTGTTCATATTTATGAATGGCTCTATGTGTCTTTGTTTTAAAGAGATATGACCAAGAGGAGCATTTTAAACATGTCTCTCCTCGAAACACCTAAGGCAACTCCTTTATATTGAATTTCCATGGATTGAGTATATTGGCTCCCAGCAGGTCAGGGCCCTCCAGGTGATAGGTGGTCCCTGATCCTTGGTCTTGTGTGACTGCCAGCATTACTGTCCCCTTTGGGACTCAGACTTTGTGGTGAATGCATGCAGAGATCTTTTGCTTATCAAGCTTGTAGATGAAAATACAGAGGCATGAGCTAGGAAAGAGCTTGACCCCCTAGCTCAGTGGAGCAAGGCTAGGAAGAGAACACAAAAAGACCTGGCCTGGAAGGGGCAGAGGAGTTGGTAAGGAAGCTTTCAGCCCTGACAACAGTCCACAAGGGAGCTGCTTTTCACTGACACCAGTGCTCCTGAGGACCAGAATGGCTGATCACAGCCAGCCACATTAAATACGTAATTTCAGAAATGCGATCAAACTGACTTCCTGCCAGAGCTATGAAGCAAATCCTATACAGAGCCAGAGGTCCTTTGTGTTTTCCATTTTTGATTCTGTGTTAGGCTGATTTTTTTTTTTTGAGAGAGAGATATTTAATTTACCTAGTCTTTTCAATCAAAGAAATTGATACATTAACAGGATGGGTGGTGATGGTGGCAGTGGCAGGGAAAGTAATTAAAAAGTCTAATTTTTCTTTCTAAAAGCACCAGCCCCTGAACTGGATAGGTCTCCTTGGACTGGAAAGCAGACAAAGTTTGAATAAAACTTTTATTCAAATCTAACAATTATTTTGTTGTGCTTAGATGTTGGGATGTTGGGAAGAATATTTTCTTTTCCAGGAGCCAATGTTTTGGACATTAGGGGGCTGGATCAGCTTCTTAGGGCAGTCATAACAAAGTACCATCAACTGGGTGGCTTAAAATAACGGAAATTTATTTTCTCACAGTTTTGGAGGCCAAAAATTCAAAGTTAATATGTAGGCAGGGCCATGCTCTCTCTGAAGCACTAAAGAAGGATTTGTTCCAGGCCTTCCTCTTAGCTCCCAATGCTGCCCGCAATCCTTGGTGTTCCTTGGCTTGTAGACACATCACTCTAATTTCTGATTCCATAGTTACATGGTGTGCACCCTATATGTGCCTGTGTTTTCTCTTCTTATAAGGACACCAATCATATTGGATTAAGGCCCATCCTAATCCAGTATGGTCTCATTTTTATTTGATTGCAAAGACTCTATTTCCAAATAAGGTCACATTCACAGGTACTAGGGCATTAGAACTTTAACAAAATTTTGTGGGGAGACACAAGTCAATCCCCAGGGACCATAGTCTGGGATGGGGAGGGAGGGTAGAGAAGACAAGACTACCTACAGTGCCAAGGGGATTCCACTCATGGTTAGAAAGGGTTGAATTACTTGGCCTGCCTGGGATAGTCTCCATTTGGTGATATCAAGTCTTGGTCCCATAGCTACCCAAGGTCTTAGACATCAGACTGATCATTTAGCTAAACACCAGGTCATCCAGGAAGTGGGCATGCTCTCCAGGCAGGGAAAGCTCATCTTTGAAATAACTTTGTGATATGATAGAAAGAGCACACAGAGAGTCAGAAAGTCCAGGTTCATTCTTTTCTAATGGCTCACCTACTCCGTAAAATGAAAGCACATTAATAAACTCCTTTGACCCTCGATTTGTATTTCCATAAAAATAAAATATAAAATAATTTTCATCTACTGCAATTTTATAATACAACTTAAATGAGAAAAGTGGGTGAAAAAGAGTTTTGCAATGTATCATGTTTTTTTTTTTTAAATAAATGAAAAGTCCCTTTCTCCTGCTCATATGGGCAGAACCTTTCATCGTCCTGTTTAAAAAGTTGATGTGATTCTTCCCATACCCAGAGTGGGCAAATATGATTTAAAGGTGGAAAGGATACCATCTGTCTCTGTGGCTCTAAAACTCAAGGTGATCAAAACTGCCTTTCAAAACCCCCGGTGGCCTCAATCTTTTAGCATCTGGTGCTACCTGATGGAACAGATTTTTATCTGAGTAGGTAGTTAGAGCCTAATCCTTTAGCCAAGCCTATAAATAAGTCTAAGGGCATGAGAGCTGATGATAAAAAGAAAAATAAAGTCTTTCTTTAGACGTCCTCCCTCTCAAAGCCTTAGGGGAGGAATGTGCAGCCCTCTGCTCGCTGATGATGAAATTAGTGGGCGCTCGTCATTCAACACAAAGGCGAGAAACGACTGGAATCTGATGTCAAAAGCCACGGAAGAGAATATATTTTACACAGCATATTAGGCCCCAATGCAAATTAGAAGAAATATGGGGAGCCTTCAAAAAGGTAGGTCAAACTTTTTCCTCAAGCAGATAATTACAGACTGGGGGTGAATAAATCTTATTAGCCTCTTTCCACCTTGTCTCTTCTCATAAAACACTGGAAAAAAGAAAGCCATTCCAATTCAGAACTGGACAGCTCACCCAACAGAGGCCTAGCCTAGTGGTCATCAGGACACCTGCGGTCAGGTTGTTGATGCTCACTCTCACTCCCCCACCCTGACGACCTCCCACCAGGATGCAGGTGAAGACAGCCAACCAAGCGTGGACTTCCATGATGGACTTGCAGAGACTTGGTGACTTCTCACTGTCTGAAGAACGATCCCTTCAGGCAGCAATTTTCCAGTCAAATTTATCTGCCCAAGTTTGAGGCCTTAAAATTAATGAAGTTGTTAACATTTCTTAAAATGTCTTTCACGGCAGTTGAAAGGTATGGATTTATCACCCAACTCAGCTGGCCTCTTTGATTCATAGACATGTGGGCTGAGCTCCCACCAACATCCTTAAGGGGACCAGACTCTTGGCCTTAGCTCTGTCTTTAGCTTGTTCTGCAGTGGGTCTTGGGGCAAGTCCTCAACATCTGTACTCTGAGGTCAGCCCACCGGGGACACTATGGCAGTGGGCTTAGCTGCCTATGGAATGATTTGTCTGTCCTATGAGCAGTGAAAGGGAAGGGCCAACCCTTACCTGTCTTTATGTTTGCATCACTTCCCACATCAGGCACAGGGCCAAGCACCCAGAGATGGTGATGGTGGTGGTAATGTCTTCATAAGTCTCAGCTGAATTAAATATGGCAGAAAGATGTAAAGCCTCTGGAATGCCCACCATAGTCAGTTAAGGAACCACCAATGAAGAATCAGCTCCTCCTTCCCCATAAATCAATAGCAACGATGGTGATGACTTGGGTACTCTTACCCAGAACTTGGGCAGTAACTGCCAATGGTTTGGGTCCTCTACTCTGCCAAGAAGGGAAATCATGAGGATTCCAGACCAGGAGGAGAGTTTGAAAGAGATCTTGAAAAACCTCCAGATCGATTCCTTTGCCCTAAGGTGGCATGCCATTTCACCCTCATTTTACAGATAAGGAGGATGAAGCTCAGGGAGCACCACATGGTTTATCAGGGCCAAGCCATGGGTAGGAGGCAGCTTAATAAGCTTTCATGATTTTCTCCTTTTGACCTGCAACCTCTTATAAGATGCTCCACAGGGAACAAATATGTTGCCCTCTGCAGCATGGAGTGGGTAGATTTACCCCTTGGGGCATTCTGCATTTTATAAAAATTGTCCTTCTGTAGAGATACTGAATGACTTTGGGAGCAAAATCAAAAATGTTACCTGAAGACCAGTTGTATCGCAAATCTGGTTACAAAGCATTAACAATGAAAAGATCCAGATTTCAATTATTTATAGATACTTGCCCTTATCATAAGATGACACTCAGTGTCTGGTTTAAATAAAATCAGGAAGTAATTCTTATCTGGAATCTCCTGACGACCACTGATCTTTCTCTCCTGCAAGGGCTGCTTAAGAATCACAGGAAACATTCCAGCACAGAAGATAATTATAAACTGCCCCAGGGTTTTTGATGGATTTTTTTTTAAGTTTAAAATATGGTACAGAAAGGTACAGTTAATATGAACCAAGAGCGTTATAGATGAGAGACAGCAGGCTTTGGACTGGAAGCTTTTCTATAGTGAGTGGAACATCTCTGTTAGGTGCATTTTAAATAGCTTAGGCCCAAGGGTATAGACTGCATAGAGGAATAGGTAAATATGCCCAGAAGGGAATCTAGAACTCCGTGCCACACCAGGTTTATAAATACTTAATTGAATCAGGCCTGATGAATGAGTTTCATTCTGGAGGACTTTTGCATTCATTCATCATAAATATGAGGCTGGTGCAAAAGTAACTGTGGTTATTGCCATTGAAAGTAGCCATTGAAAGACTAATAAGGCTTTATGCATATCTTCCATGCGATAGAATAAAGTGGAAAGCAAAGCTTAGTGTCTGTCCTTATGGTGTTCACCCTAGAGGAGTTCAAGAGAATTAAAATGTTCATTTGAAATGCTTCTTCTCTCCTCTAAATCTTCTCATTGCAGAGACCCAGCTACTATGAGCTGTTAGAATGAGCACAGAGAAGGAGGAATCTTATACCATGTAAAGGCAGCCTCCTGAGGGCTGCTAGGACAGGACCTACCCGGGTGGGTAGGTGGTACCTGGGAGAAAAAATGAAAGTAGGGGAAGAAGTCTGGCTTGGTAGCTGGAGAAGCCACTCTGTGTGATCTTATTAAACCTAGTTTCCACATCTGTAAAAATGTAATTGGACCTGGTCTCTTCATGTCGGATGCTGTTGCAGAATCAAATGAACCAAAATAATATCAAAGAACATGTTTGGGAAACTTTAAGGAGCTTCTTAACTGTAAGGGGCCCTGGAAGACCTGTGACGCTCATAATAATAATCCCCTCTTAAGAGACTGATTGTTGGCTGGGCACGGTGGCTCACTCCTGTAATCCCAGCACTTTAGAAGGCTGAGGCAGGCGGATCACGAGGTCAGGAGATCAAGACCATCCTGGCTAACACAGTAACACAGTCAAACCCCGTGTCTACCAAAAATCCAAAAAAAAAAAAAAAAAAAAAAAAAATTAGCCAGGCATGGTAGTGGGAGCCTGTAGTCCCAGCTACTCGGGAGGCTGAGGCAGGAGAATGGTGTGAACCCAGGAGGCGGAGCTTGCAGTGGGCCGAGATCGTGCCACTGCACTCCAGCCTGGGCGACAGAGCAAGACTCTGTCTCAAAAAAAAAAAAAAAAAAAGAGAGAGAGAGAGATTGTGATTGCTAGAAACACTGTGGGTTAGAACCAGAAAGCAAGCTACAGTCAAGAAGCAAATAAGCATCTCCTCTAATGATTGATAAGGGGATGGCTGGAACACTATATACCATAAAGGCTAAGCAGGAGGGATATGGCAGACACAAAGCCCTTGGCTCCCACCAGGATACAGAATGCAGCTGGAATGGCCTGGCTGGAATGGTCCACGGGGTTGAGCGTCACTGGGAGACAGAGGGCTCAGAAAGACTTCTTTTGCATATAGGGAGCTGAGGGAATGCCCTGGAGCACTATGAATCCCAAACTGAAACTCACAGAGTCCTTATTATGAGATAGTGACAGTGTATCTCAAGTAAATATTAAACATATACTTACCATATCGGCTGCGATGAGACAGGAAAGGGAAGGAGTCTTTCATTATCCAGGTGAGATTCCATGTAAAATAATCAGGAGAAGGAGAAGGCATGTTTGTTGGTGATTCCAAGGAGCTATGACCTGGACATAAAAATAAAGAAAACACTGATCCATGTGCTTGGGGTGTGTCTTTTAGCTGTCACTCAATATCAGTCAAAAATGAAGTTTATAAGGGGCTTTCATGACATCCATCGGGAAGATGAGGGGGAAAAAATTGAGCCACCAGTAGACTGAGTTGACCTCAGGACCCTGATGTACATTTTCTATCAAGGGCAGACAGATCTAAGAGGTCTGAATGTTCTGACCAAGGCCATGCTGAGGATCTCTGGGAGATGAACTAGAAGCCAGGGCACTTAATGGCTTGGTCTAAGAGTTCTATCCAAAGTCTATTCTGCCTATAATAATTTGTGCAGCTTTATAGAGAACTCCAATTCATCTCGTCCAGATAATGCCTCCATCCCTACTTTATGTTCAGACTTGTAACTTCCTCTAATGTTGTTTGCTTGGGTTATTGCCTTATCAATGAGAGGGCTGAAACTGCACTCTGAAGTTATGAGTTCTTAACAATTATGTTATTGTCAGGGTTGTGGGGGAAGCTAGGTGACCGGAGTTTTCCCAAAGCCAAGAGGCCAGAAAGCCAAAAGGATTAATGTTTCTGATTTGCATGAGAGAAAGAAGGCTTGAAAGAAAAGCAGCAGAGAAGCATTATTCCTGTCCTTAGCAGCACCTCATGTGGATTTTGTGTGGTGAAAAGTCATTACAATATATCTACAAATCAAATGATCATGCACTGCCTGATCTAACACAGTGCTTCCCAGAAAATCCCAAGCTCAATCACTATTTGCTAATGTTTTACGGCAGACAAAGCCTTTTTTGTTAAAGAAGGAAGGATTTGAGAATTAGTTCTCTTTCATAGATAGATGTGTCACAAGACTGAGTGCAGGGAGGAGGGAAGGAAGGAAATTAGCATTTCTTCTGTAGCTTCCCCGGAACAGACGCCATGCTGGACTCTTTACCTACATAATGTCACATGATATTCACCGTGGCTCTTTGAGATAGAAATGATCATCTCTGTTTTACAGATGCATCAACTGAGACCTAGAGAGGCAAGTGATGGAAGCAGAAACTGAGCCCAGGTTTGCCTCATATCAGCAGGCCATGTTCTATGGTGAATGGGCTGACCTGCTATTCTGGTGGTAACTGTTAACCCACTTGGAGGGACTTTGTGAAGAGGAAAAGGGGGAGAAGAGGAGAAGAAGAGAAAGAAGAAAAGGCAGGCAGCAGGAGTAGCAGAGGCATTTTCCCAGTCTGCCTGCTCTGCAGTTTCTTCCACATTACCCCCTGTACCAGCTCTTGCAGGTTCTGGTCTCCTACCTCTAACCCCCTTTTAGGATAAACCCCACTTCACACACTTGAAGGAAATCTCTGGCCTGGGTACCCATGGCAGTCTCTTGTTTCCAGACCCCTCCACTATTTTACCTGCAGGTGCTGCCCTTAGGCAATGCTTATTAAAGGCCCTTGTGCCCTGCAACTGGGACAGGATGGGCATTCCACGGTCTCCTTCCTAAAAAAACATTTTAATCTCTGCTTTCCATAGCTCTGAGTTGGAAGTGCTGGCTCTTGGGTATCTAGGAAAGAATTTTGACTTTTCTCTTATATTTGGTCTACAGAGATTAGAACTGAATTGATTTGTGCCAGGTACATCTTTCTGCAGCATTTCTGCAAAACAGCTCAGAGGAAATGCACTGAAAGGGGTGAGAGTCTGTGTTTGTGAGTTGCAGAGAGAAGCCATCTCATTTCACCTGCACATCAACTCTGTTTCGTAGATAGGCAATGGGGCTCAGAGAAGTGAATGCAAAGCCACGTAGGGTTACTTTGGGTGGGGTTAAGTTTATTAGCCTTTTAAAAAATTAGTATGTATCGAGCACATATGGACCGGTATGATGCTAAGTGCTTTAAATGTGTGATTTTGTTTACTTCTTACAGTAACCTTGTGAATAAGTTTATTTGTCCTCATTTTGCAGCTGAGGAAATTGAGGCATAAAGACGTTAGTTACCTTGACTACAGCCACACAGCCAGCAGGAGACAGGAAATCAGGGTCAAAAGACTAGATCAACTGACACTGAAGTCCAAGCTCCTTTCACCACTCTGCACAGGCCACAGACTGGTGCAGGGTGGTCCTCAGCTCTCCACAGGGCCTGGCAGGGCCCCCACGACACAATGGCTGAGGTCAGAGGCCACCACTGAGCATGCTTCAGAATAGGGCAAGTGGGAAGGGTCTGGGAAGACTCGGACAATCAATCTCCATGTGAATAAAAATTCACTTAGACTCTAGGTCTGAGTCATTGGCTAATCTCAAATTTTAAGTAGCTTTGAAGTGACAGGAAGACTAAGCCTAGGTTATACTTTCCTGTTTCTAAGTGATGTCATTTTTCTGAACCATTCAGTTTGGGAATGATATTAACTTCTTCCTGGATGTGAGGAACCAAGCAGATGGGGCTAGACTTCAGGGAGCACTTATGAATCTGTGAATGGGTACAGAATGGCAGATAACTTTAATATGAATGGGGGCCAGATAATATATTCAGGGGTTTAAAAAAAAAGAAAGCTTTCAAAAGGAAGGGCTCTGAGGGCTGGGTCATGACCCAGCAAGGTAATATGGACATCACTGTGGGCCATCTCTTCAGAAGCATGAGCTTAAAGCCTTTTATATCACAAAACACCAATAACTTGCCAGGCATCCACAGGGTTGAATATTGCAGGGTTGAAAAAAAGCAGAAAGTCTTAACTTGCCCTTACAGGAACTCCTAGAATTTCTTCCAGCCAGTGGGCTCACAGGGTCTCCAATCTTACCCCTGAGAGTAGGGAGTGCAAGTGATAAGCCGGATGAGGCTAGGGAGCTAATGTGGGGGTCAGCCAAAAGGCTGAGCCTCCCCACCTGAAAAGTCAAGGATCAAGGAAAGCAAAGCCCACATGAATGCAGTTGTTTTCCAAAATCGGAAGCATTGGAACAGAAATGAGTGCTAGTCAAAGTTCACAGAATACACATCAATGTAGAATATAAAGAACAAAATACTTCTGCATTTAACAAGTACAGGGTCAAGACACTGTCTGTTCCCATCAAGCTCTTTACCCTTGCCCTACCCAACCACTGCAGGGAAGGATTTTCTAGCAGAAAGAGAAGCCATGCCATCAGAAGCAATCCATTTAAGCTAGAGAAAGCCTTGTCTTTTCAGGGTTCCACTCTGAAAATATGAGGATCCAGAGTGAAATGGGCCTCATCAATGCAGATATATGGGTGAAGGTATGAATGCAGACCAACTGGCTCAAGTAGAGTGACTCTTGGACCTTGGGAGATGAAACGTAGATGAGAAAGGAGTGGGGAAATAGGAGCAGGAGCTTCTAGGTGCCCAAGTGAGGCAGACAAGTGAAGGCCTGAAGAGAAAGGAGGAAGAAATATACCTGGACTGAAGGCATTATTGATTTGCTAGCAATACAATTGTTGCTGTTTTTCTGATGATTTCTTAAGCCCTTTCTAGGCACTGCAGGGTATCAAGGCAGAGTGAAAACCTCAAGCTCTTGACACTCTGAATTTTTCACTGTGTATCATCCCCCTAATGTCCTCAGCTTCAGCTCCAGGGCTCATCTCTATCATAATTTCATTTCACACAATCTCAACTCCTTTGCCTCTTTCTTTACAATTATCCTGGAGCAGGTAGATGTGGTAGTGGGAGAAGAGGGGTGGAGGAACACACAACAGTGCTGACAGGCCTCATTTTAAATTCATCACCAGAAACCTCAAGACCCTCAGGATGGCCCGGGAATCCCATTGCCTTCCCTGACTAACTCAGTTCACTCTCTCTCTTTCCAATACAACTAGTTCAAACTTCCTCTCAAGTTCTCAAAACTCCAATTCCCCATATGCTTCCACATTCTCAGTGAATGAATTTGTTTCTTAGCTTATTGAGAAAAGAGAAGTGATCTACCCACTTACATGTATCAGTGCCTTCTCTTCTGTTGTAAAGGATAACAGTTTACTCTCTTAAACAGTGCCAGCCTCTTCACTTAGGTGCTAGTCTCGTCTCTTCTCAAGGGATCTGCTGTTACAATGGTCCTGCATCAACAATTTTCCCTCTCTACCAAGTCAGTCACACAAACATGCACCATCTTATAAAGAAAGAAAAAGCTTCTTTGACTGCCACACTCTTCTCCAGCCATTGTCCCTTTACTCTGCTCTTCTTTACAGCTAAATCTATTAAAAGATTTGTCTTTGCTCCTGTCTCCACCTTCTTCTTCCCGTGTTCTCTTAAATCCAACAAAATCTAGATTGTCTTCACTACTCCACCTCAAGGTCGCCGACGACCCTAGGCTGCAGATACATTGAACAACTCTAGGTCTTTGTTTCACTGGACCACTCAGCAGCATTTGCCCCTGCAATCACTCCCTGCTTCTTGGATTTTTCACATCCTGGTCACCACATAGTCTTTGGTTGCCTCCTGCTTCAGTGGGAAGATCCTCTTTATTCTTCTTTGCCAGGTCTTCCTTATTTTCCAAACTGTAGAGGAGGAAACGTCTCCTTTTCCGGCAGCACTTGCTTAGGAACTGTCATGGCTGAGTATTATATTTTATCCCACTGGTTCTAACCAGCTGATGATCAATAAATTTCAAGTGAGTGCGGGACACCAGACCCTTCCTGTACCTAACTGAAGACTCTTTGCTGACCAATGAAGATAACTTGTTTACCCATGCTCACACAAACCTATGCATTCATTCATTCTCTTTAGTTCAAAGAACCGATTTTCAACTCCAAATAACCAGAACCACATTGTAGCCCTCTTCGTAAGACTTTAAAAACTCTGACTTTTCTTACTTGGAAAACCATACAGTGAATTTCTCCTTGCCCGACATGTAAGTAAGCTTGTCATAAAAAACAACTCTGTGGGATCTTTATTTTATTATTTGACAGTTGTTAAAAGTTGAAGAACTTGGGAATTTTCTGCATCTAAACTCTCTCTCAAAGTGATCTTACCCAGTTTCATGGCTCTAAATATCATCCACATACTACTGTTACCAAATTTGTGTCTTCAGCCCAATCTCTCCCCTGAACAACAGAATACACAGAATATACATCCAACTGCCTGCTCAAAATCTCCACTTTATTGCCCAATAAGCATCTGAAACTTACCATGAGCAAGCCAAAAACCTAACCTCCCTTCCCCTAAACCCCAGGTATTCCCCATTTCAGAAAGTGTTACCAATACTCGCCTGGTTGCTTGGGCCAAAAACCAATGAGGAATCCTTAACTTCTTCCTTTTATTCACACCCCACATCAATTCATCAGCAAATCTTGATGGCTCTACCTGAATTTTACCCCTTCTCATCTTTTCCCATCTCGCATCTCTCCATTATTGCTATGAGCTCAAAGAGGGCCCCCCTTCAGTCTGTTCTCTATGTGGCAGTTAGATTGACACTGCAGCCCCTGAAATAGCTTTCAAATTTCTTGCCATAGCCTAGCCCCTAAAGGCCCCACAGGATCTGGCTCCTGATTCTGTCTCTAACCTCATTTGCAACCATTTTCCCTCATTGCTGGAGCTCAGTCCCACAGGTCTCCTTGCTCTTCCCCGAACTCACCAAGCACATTCCCACCCCAGGGCCTTTGCACTGGCAGTTCTCTCAGCCGAGGAAGCTCCTCCTACTCAGAGGTACATGGCCACTCCCTCTCTCTGTCCAGGTCCCTGTCCATAGGTCAACTTCCCAGAAAGAATTTCCCTGGTCATCCTGCTGAGAGACAACTCATTGTAAGCCACTCCCATCCCTTTGCCCTATTTCTTACACATATATGTGTTCTGTATATTGGTTTATTCATTGTGTACCTCCTGCACTAGTCACTGCTATGTCTCCATGCCTGGCACACAGCAGGCACTCAATAAATATTTGTCAAATAAATGAAATCAGCGCCCTGGAGGAAGGTGTTATCTCTGGCACTTATTAGCTGTTAACTTCAGGCTAAGCACACACTCTGCCAAACCTCAATTTTCTGAAAACGATGACGAGAATAAGAATAGGGCATATTCTAAAAATTCTCAGGGTTTTGTAAGGGCCACATGAGATAATGTGTGCATGACACAGTCTTTCAGTATCAGTCATATCATTCTTAAAATTGTATGCTCCTATCTCTGTTTTAGAATCCAAAATGAGTGGGAGTCTTGGTCTCTTTTCTATATTTAGATCATCTTGTGTCAATAATTACAACGTCCAGAAATCAAAAGTGCTCCCAGAGAGCTGCTTCGCTATTATTCACTAGTTAATCATTAACTTTGCCAAATGTACATGATCACAACTACCCAAATTGCAGCCGATTGGCACTGTGTATTTCCAATCTTTATTTTTACATGTCTCACTGCATGTCTATTTATTCCTAAGCCAATGAACATAATATAATAAATATATCATACTTGTGTCAGTATAAGTAATGAAGAGCTATGCATGTGTGATGGTTATTTACATGAATGCCCCAGGCTCACTGGCAAGCATGTTTTACAAACCTACATCAATAAAATGTAACAAATGCTCCTATTCTAAATGCTCTTTGGAACAGTTCCTACCTTGCCTGTACACGTTTTACTTATTTCTTTTCCTTCCAACAATAAAACAATCAGTGACAGTCTGCTTGTTTTTTCCCTGTTATTTGAAAACACACTTAATAATGCATTCGTTTACAATGATTTTGTGTCACACAAAGCAAAGCTTAATGTGGCCAAATAAATAGTGGTCTGGATGTCAAATCAGGCACAGCTCTCAGAGAGTACAGGGCAGGCCTGTTTTTGGGACTGGCAGCCCAGGGGAAATGGTTTGGGTATTCACTAGGCTGAGCCTGCACCTGTTCAGCAAAAGAAACCTCAGTAAATTTACATGACTCCTAGAGTTAGCGGTGATGGGCGATGTTGTTAATTTAGTCTGAAAAACAGAGATGTGATTTCAGAGAAAGGAGAGAGTTTGCAGATGCACCATTTGTCCTAAACATATAGCCCTCCCCATACCTTCTCTAGGCCTGGAAAATGAGCGGTTTGAACTCACTGCTCGCTAAGGTCCTCTCTGGTTCATACATATTTGTTTCTCTATGGTTTGCTTTCACATTTTCTTCCAGCTGGCTCATTCAGAAGGGAGCTATTAGTGTCAAGGGCGGAATTTGGATGGAATTAAACAGCTCCCACTCCACCTCACCTTTCTCTAAGCCCCATCCCATCCTGCCAGAGAAGTTTGTGCTCTTTCTTAGTAGCTCAAATATTGAAGCAAAAATTACTCTCCCATAATATTCTTTTGTACTGTCAAAAGTTATAGCTTCAGCATGCATTTCCTGCCTCCCCAAGAGGACCCATGTATAACTTTTGTGTTCACTCAATGGTGAAGGACCTCTGCCAGCCAATGAAAGCATGTACCCCTTCCCAAGGCACAACAGTGAGGAATATTAATAAAGGAAATTGTTAGCATGGTGCCTACCCTTAGGGATTTGGTTACCTTCAGGCTATCCTATACCAAAAAAAAAAAAAAAAAAAGGAATCACAAAGAGGTTGCTCCAGAATGGCTAAAGCGTGTAAATCTGGAGCCCAAACACTCTGGCCACTGTTTGCCTTTTCAGCCTTATTTCCCATTCAGAATCCTTCCTTTCACATTCTATCCCATTACTCCTTAGTCTCCAAACTTATGCCCAAGCTAATCTCTGCCTAGAACATCCTTCTCCACCCCCTGCTTTCCTAAATCCTACCCCTTCTTAAAGGCCCAGCTCAAATCCCTCCTCCTCAAGGTCCCTGTCTTCCCTGAGCTGGACACCAAAGCAGTTGAGCTGGGATTCGGGTTGTGCCAGAACAAAACCTGAACTTGGGCCCTGACCTCCTTAACCACTTAGGATAGTGGTGTTGAGGCCATTCAACAAACATGTTAATGACGATGGATTGTAATTGCATATTAATTTCACTCACACAACTTAAGTTTCAGGTCTGTTGTTTATGTTGATTTCTTTTCTTTTTTTTTTTGCTCATTGATTTAGAAAAAATTAGGAAAAGCATTTCACAGTGGCTGTTTTTGGTTTGGTGTCATGTAGGACATGCTTTGCAGGGGCAGGGGCAGATCAAGACATGGACCTATTTCATCAGTTGAGCTACCACATCTATGCAGGTACTAGTGACTCATAATTCATGGCCAAAGTCCTATAACGAAGGCCATGTGACAGCTGATGCCTCCTCTTCAGAACCTGTATCTCTCAGAATTTGATAGTTCCAGGTCACTCACTGCATTTTCACCTTTCCAGACATGATTTCAGCATCCCAAGCAAGCACCTCCTGACTCATCCATGAGCGTCACAATGTCTCCTTTGGCCCTGAACCCCTGCTGCAGGTGTGCTTGGTCACTGGCCCTACCTAACTGGCCAAGGTGGACTCACACTGGCTTTTGGTAGCTGTGGAAGACTAATGGGCATTTTTATTTTACTAATCCAAGACAGCAAATATCACTCTCCAGGTGGCCTGATTCTTAACACACCCGCACTCCCTACCCCCGTAAGACCTGAGTGCTTCCATTAGCAGGGCAACATGACTCTCTGTTTGGGTCCATTTCTGTGGTTTGCTTGTACTCTGCTCTTTATGAAATTTACTCCACTGTGATCTTAAGCCTATTTTCTCCCCCCAAAATATGTTGACTAGAATAATAATCAAAAGGAAGGCTTTGAACTGCCATCAGGCCTTTCATCTTGTGATCTCAGAGAGCTTTACCAAGCACTAAATAATTAATATACTGAAAGCGATACAAAGACACAAAGACACAAAGACAGGGCAGCCTGGAAAACCAAGTCCATCAACAAAAGACCTTTTTCTTTTGGAGTGAGAGAGTCCTGGTAAGGATAATCACCCACCAGCAGGCCCAGGAGTCTCCAGACATGTTAGACAAGAGGCTACAAACTATCCAAGAACAACTGGCTCTTCTCTTGACCTGATGTTTCAAGTTGGGAAGTAACGGTTACCAGGATGACTCCTGAAATCATGCAGTGAGTGCCCTGGGGAGAGTGTGACCCACTTTCACAGGAAGAAGGGAGCTCCAGCGTGGAAGAGTGGATTGCAACTGTGTGCACATTCACCATGACTTAGGGCTCCCTGATGCCTTTCAGAGGCATCTGCTTTTGTGATCCTTACAACAACTTTGGTAGTTAACCTCTTTTACAGATGAAAAGATTGAGGCTCGGAAAGCACAAATGCCCAAGGTCACATTGCCAGTGAGTACTAGGATAGGATGTATGACTGCAGACCTCTGATGTGTGGACCAGCTAGGAATGCCACTCTACAGTACAAATCCCTTGCAGGTGATGATTCTCCTGGGGAACAGGGGTTGGGAATTAAATACAGAAGAAAGAAACTGACCAGGTCAGAGATGCTTGCTGCATTCTCCTAACTGAGGACAATAGATCCCTTTGGGTCAACCAGGAAGTCGACCTAGAAACACACACCTTCCATCAGGGCAGCTGGCTCTGTGGGGTCTCAGGCTCAGCCACGACTGTTTCCATGGCAACCACCACAAAGCCTGATGCCTGGATCCTTGAAATTGGTCCTTGGCTTGTCCAAGGGAAGATGCTTAGGGTGAGGGGAAGAAGAGGGACAAAACACTTTCTCCTAACTTCCAGACCTTTCAATCCCTCTTTATCTACTTGTCACCCCTGTCATTTCAGGATAAAGAGTCTATCCTCTAAGAAGCCCCAGCTCCAGATGCCACATTACTCAGCACAAAGGCCCCTCACCATGACTGAACTCATTTCCAGAGATAGGCTGATGTGCTAGAGAACTGTGTTCTCAGATACAGCAGTGTTACTGCGTGACCTTGGGTAAGCTGCTTAACCTTTTTCAAGCTTTGTTTCTCTGCATGTAAAACAGAACTCATCATGCTTTCCCAGCCAACTTTTGGGATGCTCAAAGAATTAATGAGACAGTATCTACAAAGCCCTCAGGCTCTTTTGAAGAAAGGTACACTAGAAATCCTTGTGCTTTTACTAAGGGGTATTGGCATGATGCTATATTTTAAATCACTCTTCACCTGTATTACTAAAATAAACTCAGCTTGTATTAAAATAGATAGGCCAACAGCCTGATTGGCTTCATCCTACTCTGGTGCTATGTCACCTTTGTTGCTTCCATTCATCTTGCATTGTTAACAATGGTGATCAATGTTACCCTTGGCCTCATGCAGAGACTCAGAGTGGGGGAGCTGGGAGGGGCCATGAAGACTATTTATCTGTGTCTTCCTATCACACATGTGAGCAAGCTGAAACACAGGAAGGAAAGATGCTTCACTCGAAGTCATCTCGTTAGTGAAAAAAATCACAAAATATGATCTTCTGTGCCCCCATTCTATGCCTCACCCACCACAGGAGAAGGTAGCAAAGAAAGGAGGAGGGAGAAGAAATAGGGAGACATGTTTTTGTTCTTTAAACCTTTAAGCTGCAATACTCTGGGATGTTTTTAAAAAAAAAATCACTGAGAAAGAAACCAATACTTCATGTGTGCCTATTACACACGGTGCCCAGCACCATACTGGGGGCTTTATAGTCATTGCCCCACAAATCCCACAATTTTCTGAGTGGGGATTATTATTACCATTTTCAAACGCAGGAACTGAGGCTCAGAGAGGTTGAGTAACTTGTCCAAGGTTCTGGAGCCAAAAGGGGTGGAGCTAAGATTAATTCATTAATTCCATTCATACTTCCTGAGTATCTCCTATGTGCCGAGCTCTGCCCTTGGCAGTTGGGCTGCATTCGTGAGCAGAACCCCACACTACCCTCTTAGAGCTTCCAGGCTGAGGAGCTTAGAGTGTGGAAGGCAGCAGACAGCCATCCAACAACCTCTCAAGTCCTTTTGACATCTTGATGTTGTTATCCATTGTGAAGGAGACAGACACAACCCTATGAGAACGTATGATGAGGGATCTGACTTCATTACGAGAGGCAGGGGAAGATTACCTGAGAAGCTGATGCTTGCACTGAGGCCCTTAACCAGATGAGTAGAGTTAACTAGTTAAAGGGAGTGGGGTAGGGTGGGAGGCTGGAGAAGGCAGGGTCTATTCCAACTCAAGTCTCTCAGAACGGAGCGCCAGCTCCTTATTTGCCACCAAGAAAAGTGAGGCATTATAGAGGAACCTTGATGGATGGCCCAATCACACTGCTACTGTCCAGCAAAGAACCCCTTGGAGATGACATTGATTGCAATCGAGAACAAGGACAGGGAATGAAACACAGCAGAAGGAGTGACCAGTTCATAAATGCCTGCTGCCTTCTCCTGATTAAGGATGACAGATGCCTCCAGATCAACCTAGAAGGCCATCTAAAACTGCTACCTAAAATGGCTCTGCCCCGTAACAGGACTGACCTGACTTGCCAGGGACCCTCCTGCCTTTTCTCGGATGCTCAGTCTGTTGGCCAACTTTCCTGCAGGGAAGAGGCCTGGAACCCAGCCACTAAACCTCAGCCTCCCCTCGCTCTGAAACCTGAATTACCTTCTGGAAAAGTGAAGGGTTGAATCTGCCCCAGGAACTCTTCTTGCAGCCATCTGGGTCACGGATAAGCCCTGGCTTGCTCTCCTTGCCCTCTCCCATGGCCAGGGCCAGCAAGGTCAGAGCCTCTCTCTTTATTTTGCTTTAAAAATGAGGTGAAGAGAGGCAAAGAGGGAGGGGAGAGCAGGGAGAGAGAGAAAAGAAGAGAGAGGAAGGAGAAGGGAGAGATGGCAAGGAGACGCCTATTAAGCAATAGAGCTGCAACAAAGAAGGGAAGAAACGTGGTGGGGGAAAGAGAAATCATCTGACATTTTTTCACTATCTGGAAGTTACTGGGAGAAAGTTATTCAAGTACCACGGTAAAAAGGCCATAAAACACCTTGGGGAAAACATGAAAGTCACGCTGCCACCATACAGACGAGCACCCTGGAATTAGCTGCCAGAGCGATGTCTAAAAAGAGGAAATTCAATGGCCCACATTGCAGCCTCCTCCCCAGTCCCTCCCAGCTCCCACCCCCTCCAAATCGCCTGGCTCTAAAGGCAGAGGCAGTAATTTGGAGCTGGCAAGTGTGAAGGAATGTGGAAGCTGTTATTTGCCTTCATGCAGCACATCTTGAGTGCATCTTTCAGAATATAATTTAAAATACACTTTCGGTTTTACTATAGAAAATCTGAAAAAAAATCAAGAAGATCTAAAGGAGAAAATAAATATCACCCATACCTCCAGCATCCAGAGAAGCCAGTGTTAACATTTTATTGCATATTGGTTTGTGACTTGGTTTTCACTCACTTAACAAGACAGCACTTGGCTGAAAAGTATATCGAGGAGAAGGGAAGGAGAGAGTTCCTCTGCACCCATGAGATTTGTCTGCAGGGCAAAGAAGGTAAGTCGTCCTATTAAACCACCCAAGCAGCTTGCACCCTGGCACACAGATGCTGAAATTATGGCAACTCGGGATCCCCTCGCCCCTTGGCAAGGACCTGCCATTAAATGCGGCACAAGCTCCGAGAAAGCAAAGGCTGTCCTTAGGAAGGGCAGGCCTACGGGGATTTGGGAGATGCTGGGATGTGAGTGCAGGATAGACCAGGAGGAGGCAGATACACTAGTGTGTACCCTCAGCACAAGTAGACAGAGGGATAAGCAGATTCTGCTCTGGTAGGCACCTTGTAGAAGTCATAAGAAGCAAAGACTATACAGAATTATAGTGTTATGTAAGTGCTTGAACCTAAATAGGAGGTACAGTACATTGATTTTATGACTTGGAAAGGCTAAAAAAAAGTGGAATTCCACCTCATTTTCAAAGGAACAGCCAATGAAAGTAAACTAGAGATAGAGGGATAGAGTTCTATCTCTGTGGCCAATGACACACCCCACAAATACATGGACTCCCAAAGCCCTTTCATTTAAGCCTTTGATCCTCATAAAGGTTTAATAAGATAAGAAAAACAAATCCCAACTTACACAAGAGGAAAACAAAGAATCAGAGAGGCTAAGCCAGTGCTTCCTCACCTTTTTTCATATCATGACACACAGAGAAAATAATATTTATATGATCCACTGGAGTAAAGAGTTAAGGTTGCTTGCAGTGAAAGGCAACTGGCCCAAGGGCTTCTGCCACTCCTGGTCTGGCCTAGCCTCCCAGTGTGCTGACAGGCTCCATAGGTCAGTGTCTCTGCACACCTGTTGGCCAGCACACATGGGACCACAGCTCACTACTGGAGAAGGAAGCTCTGGGTCAGGAGATGTGGCCACAATCACACAATGAGAAGAGCAAGATGCACTGTCACCCTGCATCTTGCCCCAGGGACATGTCTACATGACAATAGAGACGTTGGCCTCAGAAAGTTCCCAGTGCTTGTCGCCAACACTGTGTCATCACTCAAACAAAGCAGGTGGCATGGGTGAGTAAGGGCTTTGAAGGTTGATCTGAGAGCGCCTCAGAAAGTTTCCTTAAAGCATTTGTAACTGTCAAGAGGCTTCCCTAAAGAAAAGGGGTAAAACTTGGCTCCTATCTCTACTCTGGGAAATTCAGAAAATAATTTCACAGGATGGTTATTGAATGGCCAAAAAGTAATGATTACAAATGACTGAGTTAAACTGCTGTGTGTAGCCTCATCTGTCATCATACAAGCGTCTTATCAGAAGTCCCATCAGGATTAGGGGCTCATCATGACTGGTGACATTTGCTGGCCAAGATGGCTTGGCTTCTTCCATGTCCCCTTCAATCATGGTGGCAGAAGCCTTCCAAGGTTTGAGCATAAACTCGGAGAAACTGCTTTTGGCAATGACTCCAGGAGCGGCTTTCAAGATAATGGACTCTTTTTCTGCAAGTGGCACTCTGTCTTCCCAAGACTTCCTGGGTCTTGCTGTCACTGGAGATTCTGGGCAGCATCGGGACAGGATGAGCTGCTGGCAACAGGTATAACAGAAACTAAACCTTCCGGCCTGCTGAATTAATGATTTTATTAGATACAGGTAGGTCACACTCAGGCAGCACTTACACAACATTAAACCTCTGGATGGAAAATGAAAATATTTCCTCAAATCCTGTAATATCTCCAAATGTAAACCAAAGATATATATTTTCATTAGGACAATAGCAATTTGGCCCAAGAGAAGCAGTCAGGACTAAGCATTAAAGATATTTGGAACAGGTGAATGAACCATGGGCTAATTGGATAATACTACATCTATCTCTTATAATTGTGGACCAAGAGCACCCCTGACTCCTTGGGAGGTTCTGTCAGTGACCTGTAAAGGTGTTGTAGGAAGGTGAGGTCAATTCCCTATTAATTTCTCATACTCAGCAGTGGGAGGGGAAGAGAGGAGAGTCCTCCCTTTGCCCTGGGCCTCGCACACTGGGTAAACCCTGGTCATTTGTACAGCATGCATCCAGAGACTTCTGGAATCCTCATCTTCAAGAATATTGCTGTAACATATCACTACCTCCATAAAATGCATTGCTACAATAGGGAGAAAACAATAAATCATTCACTAAGTGACTCATAACCAAACCCAGCCTCATAGCATGAGATTTTTCAAATTCTTATCTCAGCAAAATGACAATTTATTACATATCATGTAATTTGGGGTCGCTTGCAAATAGTAGAAAGTGTGACTATTAAATCTGCCACTACCAAGCAACTGCTGTAGTCAGAATATGAGAGAGAAATAAAACAAGATGCAAAAGTGACTTTTCCACCTACTCTGGGGTCCCAGACTCTGAAATGGGCAGGGGGAGCCAAGAACTATTGTCACAAACTCCAGAAGTTCCAGCCATGGCTTCCTCACTGCCCACACTTGTAGAACTGTGAGGTTTTCCTGCCTGAGGTAAATAGCAATTATATCTATACTAGGTTTAACTCACCCTTGGGGTGAAAAAGACTTGAGGAAGATGTGTTTATGGGTTGTTGACTGTTAGGGAGAACTGTGGACTAAATGTTTATGGTTCCCCCAAAATTCACATGTCGAAACCCACTCCCCAGTGTGATGGTATTAGGAGGTGAGGCCTTTGAGAGGTAGGGCTTTTGGCAGAGCTCTCATAAATGGGATTAGTGCCCACAGAAAAGAGGCCCAAAAGAGAACCCTCACCCCTTCCACCATGTGAGGACACAGCAAGAAGGCACTGCTCGTGAATCAGGAAACAGGCCCTCACCAGACACTCAATCTGCTGGCACCTTGATCTTGCACTTCCCAATCTCTAGGACTGTGAACAATAAACTTCTGTTGTTTTTAAGCTACCTAGTCTATAGGTTTTTTTTTTTTTTAAGCAGCCTGAATAGACTAAGGGAGACCCCAAAGATAAAGACTTTTGAGTTTCTGACCTTCATGAATTGATATAAGTGGAGTGAATATAAGACCAACAGAGAGAAGCACTAGAACATGAAGCAGCCTTCCAGGGGGTTGGAAGGAGGCTAGGAAATAAGTAGAAGGAAATCCACTCTGAGCAAATAGAAAACATGACACCCAAGAGGAAGATACACAATTGGCTAGTGGGGCACTCTCCCTGAAAGCGGGGCACTAGGAACAAGAGTAACCTAGCCATTCTCCCTGGAAGTCATACATGAAGTAAAGCAGGATCAGGATCTGCTGGTATCACCCAGAAGAATGAAATGGCAGCCAGGTCTTCTTATAGCTTTGAAATGTCCTTGTTTAATAGAGATCTGTGGCAAGAGATATGGAATTTATAAAAGGGGCTGCAAACTAGATTAAGGGAAAAGGAGGCCAGATGGGGAATCCCAGATGGTACCATGCTGTCTTGGAGTTGAGATCATGGGTTTAGATGTCAGGCTGGCCTGAACTCAACTCACAGTTCCAACACTTACTAGCACCTACGTGACCTCAGGCAAACTATTTAACTTCTTCACACTTCACTTTCCTGTTCTGTGACATGGGAATAATAGAAGCAATCTTACATGCTTGCCTTGAAGATGCCATAAGAGAGTGCTTATGAAGCACTTAGCACAATGCCTAGCTAGAGTAAGTGTTCAGTCAATGTGATTTATATTATTATTATAGAAAATAAAATGCTGGGCAAAATATGGGCCCAGCCATTGAGAGTTCTGAGTTTTAAAACTTCAGGGAAGAGTCATGTGATCCCTATGAGGGAAACATACACTTTGTAGACAGGAGGGGAAGATCTGCAATCCAGACACACCCACGGGGATCCGGCAGGTTTTCAGGGCTGTGCAGGCAGCGACAGGAGGGGTTGGAGGAGCTGTCTTGGAAAAAAGTGGCCATGGGACATTGGACCTGCTGAGCCTGTGGCCTGTAGATCCTGGCAGACCACCACTGATCAACATCAGAGGGGCCAACAGTAGATGGCCTGAACTTGGAGTTGCTTGTAATGCTTACAAAAGCTGTCAGTCTGCGAGCCAGCAAAGCATACATCAGTTTCCCAAGGTGAGAACTGAGGCATGGAAAAACAAGTTAGCGGCCCAATGAGAGGACTTGGAGAACAAGCAGCGGGAAAGGGCAGAGATCCAACACTGGGCCCAGGACTCAGCCTCCTTCTAGCCATGTGTCCAAGATTCATTGACTTGGCAATTGTGCAATCTGTGCTGTTTATATTCATTATCCCTCAACCATGTTCAAGTTCCAAGAAAAGGTGCTGCAGACCATCTCCATCCCCATCTGCTCTGAGTAATTATGGAGATTTCATGTTGCCCTAAAGAGAAGAGACTGTCTAACGTTTTCAGATTTTTTTAACATGAAAAAAAGATAAAGCTCGGGGACCACAGGCCTATAAGTTTAACAGTGCTCTTGGAGAAAACTCTAAAATAGATCATTAATCAGATGGCACGGAAGCCTTTAGAAATATACATCGACCAGAGGGAGACAAAACTAGTTCAGTAGGAATAAGACATGGTCAGTCTAGGGATAGTATCTTTACTATCAAAATGAGCAACCTCTTCCCCCATGCTCAAAAAGAAAAATAATTACAAAACAAAGACACCTGTAAAAATAAATATAGATCCTGATCTCTCTTTCTCCCTCTCTCTTTCTGAAACACACACACACACACAAATATCCAAATATCAATGGCTAATAAATATTTGAAAAAAATCTCAATTCCAACAGTAATCAAATAAAAGAAAATTAAAATACTGGACTACTACTTTTCACTTATTGAATTAGAAAATATTTAAAATCACTTAAATAATTTAAATAAATTTAATAGATATTTTGGTAATTTAAATACAATTTAAAATATATTTTAAAATAATTATGCTCAGCACTGCTGAGGGCAATGAGATAGATAATCTTATACATTCCTGGTAGAAGTATGAATTGTAAATTTAATTTTTTTAATAATAATGTAATAATTGACTAACAATGAGTATGTGTAAATTGCTATGCACATGGATCATTTTATTTTTTTATTACAAAAACCCCATGAAACAGGTATTGGTATTCTCGTTTTGCATATGAAGAAATTAAAAGGGTCAGTTTCAAATGCCCCAGAGATTCTGATTCTCACTTGTCATCTAGGGGTTGCAGGGAGAATGGAAATGGGTAAGGAGAGGATGAGGCAAGAGAAAGCCCTACAGGGGGTTCTGATTTGGATATACCATTCCCCTGTTTAGAATAACAACAATGCATTATACTGTACATAAGGACAGATAACTAATTTAGGCAGTATTTAAGAGTGTTGATACTTTTGACTGATTCTCTCCTAAGAAAATATTTGAAAGTTATAAAAGTGTTTGTGAACAATCACAGCCTTCAGTGATTTTATAATAATAAATGCTATCTTAGTTGGAAACAACTTAAATATCTAGCAATAGGTTAAATGATTTAGAAAATAATAGTAATAGTAGTAGTAAGAGTAGTAGTAATAATAATTGTTATTGCATACTCATTATGTACCAGGTGCTAGTTTAAGCTTTACTTGAATTATCTCACCTATTCTTTATTGACATGGTTTGACCGTGTCCCCACCCAAATCTCATCTTGAATTGTAGTTCCCATAATCTCCACACGTCATGGGAGGGGCCCAGTGGGAGGTAATAGAATCATACGGCAGTTACCCCCATGCTGCTGTTCTCATGATAGCGAGTGAATTCTTGTGAGATCTGATGGTTTTATAAGGAGCTTTTCCCCCTTTGCTCGGCATTTCTTTCTCCAGCTGCCATGTGAATAAGGACATATTTGCTTCAATTTCTGCCACAATTGTAAATTTCCCGAGCCCTCCTCAGCCATGCAGAACTGTGAGTCAATTAAAACTCTTTCCTTTATGAATTACCCAGTCTGGGGCAGTTCTTTACAGCAGTGTGAGAAGGGACTAATACACTTACAAAAACCTTGTAAGTTAGAGATTATAATTACCCCTATTTTGCGTATAAGAAAACTGAGCCATCGAAAAGTAACTTGCTCAAGACCCCAAGCCAGCCCATGACAGCATCAGAATGACAGCCCAGGAAGTCTTACTCCAGAGCTTTTACTATTAATGATCAAACTCTATATATGTAGTTCATTTCCATGATGGAATATTATAGAGCCATTAGAGATAATGTTTTCAAAGGGTTTTTGATAACATAGGGAAATATTTACATTATATGCTTGGAAAATTACATATATTGTATGATCTAGCTGTGTGAAAAATATACAAAGAAAATGCCTGGAAGGAAATGCACCAATTAACAGTAATTGCCTTTCAATGGTCTGGTTATGAGTCATTTATTTTCTTCTTTATACTTTTCTGAATTTTTCTAATGGACTAAAATAACCATGTGTCATTTTTTTTTTAAATCCAGGGTGGAAATAAAGTAAGCCATGTTCATGCCAAATTACCCTTATTTTCATTTTGACAGTGTATTTTAAAATTTGACAAAGTAACTTATATTTTAGTACATTAAAAAATGGAAACAAGGGAACAAGTTTAATAAAAATAATGCTTAGAATTATTTATTAATGAAGCAATGTTTCCTGTACTAAGTAAATAAAAGAGGACCAAGATTAAGGCTTATACACTCTTGAATTTCTACTCCCCTTACCCCAGTATCTAGCAGAGTGCCTTATGTAGTGTCGACTTTTGGCAAATATTTATAGAATGAGTGATTTTATCTTGCTGAACACTTTTAAAAATCAATGACAAGACATAGAAAAAAATGCTTATTGAATTTGTAGCGATAACTGATATCACAGAAAATAGAGTTAACATTTGTAATTAAGCCGTATACAGGATGAAATTTAATACTTGTCAAAATTTATGGATCAGAAGTCTTAAAATATTTTTTATTAATTGAATTGCTAATGTTGACTATCCCAGGGAAGTAACAGAGAATGGGCACAAATACTTAGACCCAGTGATGTTCCTTGTTCCAGTACTTGGTAGAACCTAAAGATTAGAAAGAATTAGATGTTTAACGGTATGTGATAGGTTGCATATACTTTGGGCATCCTTAAAATAAAATCTTATCCAGTAAAAGCGTTTTGTAGAAATTTATGTGTTGATGTAGAAGTATTTTTTACAAATATGTTAATTTTAAAAGGCAGGTCATAAAACAATATAAACAATGTGATCTAATGTTGTGAAAATATATAGGTGCTAGCTAGAGATAAATGCATGAAACAGATTGGGAGGCTATACATGAAAATGTTAGGGGTAGATATCTTTGCATGATTTAATTATAGGTAGCTTTGTTATATTTGTATTTTTTCATTATGTTTTGATGAATGTGAATTACTTTTGAAAAACAAATGTAAAACTATTCTCTATACAAGTATAGAATGTGTTCTGGAAAACTGCAGTTGGTGCTGATTTTACATTTCATATATAGTTTAAAAAATGGGTCTGGATGTATGATTGCCCCAAGCTCTGGATAGCTAGCAGTGCAGCATGGCAGCTAAGAAGACGTTAATTCCAATCTTAAGTGACATCACGAGAAGCAAAATCTCTTGGCTATGGGCAGCAGTGACTGCTCTGGGCTCCACAGTGGGCAAAGCACAGTGATAATTTTGCATTCATTTCTTGCATTGTTTTAGAAAAGAACTGGCAAACTAGGGAATCCAGAATACAACAAGCAGGTGGTAGGCATCTGCCATGAACATGGCTTGCCCAGAAAAAGAGTCTATTGGGAAGCGTTACCTCCACCATCCTTCCCAATCTGGTGTCTGTTTTCTTTTACATAATCCTCCCTGAGTCTCCACCACTAGGAAACATTTTGGGATGGTTCCTCAGAATAACACATGTGCCTGCATGGAGGGTGGAAAATGGTTTGAGTTGTAGTTGAAGTTAGACCTTGGAAGAATAGTCAGGCCATCATGAGGATAGCTGAGCCAAGGTGAGCGGGAGAACAACAGGCACAAGAGAGAGCAAGAGCAAAAATGCAAGCCTGGTGGGCCTAATTTGAGCCCTGAAACCCAGATCTTGGTATAAGAGCAGTGAAAAAGGGTAGAGATCATCAGCAACAGCAAGCTAGAAAGATGGCTTTGGCAGTAGCTTTTCATGTGCCTCAGGTCAGGAAGATCATGTTATATTATACTCATTCAATTATTCATCAAATACTACCTGAGCCCTTGTTCTGTTCTTGAACTGTAACTAGGTGCTGCACCTAGTTACACAAAACCGAGCATCACGCCAAAAAGTCCCAGCCCCCATGGACCTTGGAGTCCATATCAATGGAAAGAGAAGGACCAAATGGATGCTTGAAAAGTAAACGATATATTATAAATTTGCATGCCCTTTTTGCAGAAGAATCATGCTCATGTTGTATGTATCATTACTTTTTATCATAAAATAGCCTTCCACATTTATGTCTTGATGGCATAATTTAGCTTATGAGCCCGCTGGGAAAATTCTGTAACTTATGTGGCCATCTACTACTTTGTTGTCACTCCAGAACTACTGAGTGGTGATAACACAGCCCATGAATCCATCTCTGGTCATATTTAGAGAAGGTTGCCCAGGTTTTTAGGACGAGGAGAAATATGAGACGTGTTTTGAATATGTGGACCTTAGGGTTTTTCAATGTGGGAAAAGAGAATCAAATGAAGAACTGAAATTTCAAACAAGGACTATTGAAAGGAGACTTGTTTACCCTCTATAGAGACTGAATCAATTAAAGAGTGGCCTCAACTTAAAGCTGAAGCATGATAGGAACACCATGCCATGAGCCATTTGCTCTACTTGGTGATTTGAAGTTTTATGCTTAGAGCTTCATGAAACTCAGAATGAAACCATAGTCAGAACACACAAGGATATTTGCTATTGACAATCCAGTTCCAAAAATAGCAAAACAATAATTTCTAGGATATCTGATTTCAAAGATGTGCAGAAAAGGGAGAAAAGAACATTATTATATTGGCTAGGCACAGTGGCTCATGCCTGTAATCCCAGTGCTTTGGGAAGCCAAGGTAGGAGGATCACTTGAGACCAGGAGTTCAAGACCAGTCTGGGCAACATAGTGAGACCCTGTCTCTTCAAAAAAATTTTTTAAAATAGCCAGGCATAGTGGCACCCATCTGTAGTTCTAGCTTCTCAGGAGCCTGAAGCAGGGAGATCACTGGAGCCGAGGAGTTTGAGGCTGCAGTGAGATAAGATCATGTCACTGTACTACAGCCTAGGCAACAGGGCAAGACAGTCTCTCTTAAAAAAAAAAAAAAAAAAAAAAAAAAAAAGAACATAGGCCAGGTGCCAGTGGCTCACACCTGTAATCCCAGCACGCTGGGAGCCCAAGGCGGGTAGATCACAAGGCCAAGAAATTGAGACCATCCTGGCCAACTTTGTGAAACACCGTCTCTACTAAAAATACAAAAATTAGCTGAGCGTGGTGGTATGTGCCTGTAGTCTCAGCTACTCAGGAGGCTGAGGCAGGAGAATTGCTTGAGCCCGGGAGGCAGAGATTGCAGTGAGCCGAGATTGCGCCACTGCACTCCAGCCTGGGCGACAGTGCGTGAATCTGTCTCAAAAAAAAAAAAAAAAAGAACATAGTTACATGGTTTGTGAAATTTGATAAACTTGGATCTGCATTTCCATTCTACCACTTACAAGGCATGTGATTGAGGCAGGTTAATATATTCGAGCCTCCTTTTTCTCATCTGTTACAAAATTTAATGAAGATGAAAATTCTGCCTTGTATTATTGTTAAAAGATTTTATGAGATGTGTATTGTGAATACCAAGCACATATCAATGACTGTTTCAATGTGAGTTCACTCCCCAAACCCCCATTAGAATCAAATAATTAGAGGCAAGCATGGGTTTTGACTCTATAGCCAGTGATACATACCACAGCAGTACAAGAAACTCTATCATGTGTGCCAGGCACTAAGGATGCAACTAGAAATGTGGATAAAATGCCAAAAACACCTTCCAATACATGTAATGAAGACTTCAAGAATTCACTTGTAATGTTACTTTTATCATTTGTATTGCATTCAATTCAACAAACATTGATTGAATGCCTACACCATACATACTCATTCCCTAGTTTAGTAGAACCTCAGAGAGCTACTGCATTCTGATGTGAGGTCAGAGGCTGTTGTTTCAAGTCTCTACTTCTGACATTGAGAAGTTTTCAGTCCCTAACTATGCAGGGCCAGTTTACTTGACTATTATGCTCCACAAAGGTAAAACAGAGCTCTATCAGCTTCACGAATTAACAAAAGTAACGCTTTCCATATAGTAGGAGAGCGGATATTTATTCAATGAAAAAAAGGAAGAAAAAAGGAACGGATGAAAGAAGGGAAGACAGACAAAGAGGGAGAGAGAGATGGACAGTCAGACACTGAGACAAACAGAGGGTGGTTAGAAAGACAGACATGAGGACAGTCAGAGGGACAGTTAGACAAAGGGACAGACAGACAGAAAAACATGGTTATTTGTCCTTTTGTTCTCTTATCTTTGGACCATGACAATTCCTACCTGCTTCAAAGGACTATTGAAAGGAACATATTAAAAATGAGAGAAGCATTAGATTCTGAATGGTTATGAATAGTGCCAATATTAGGTGGCAAGTAAAACAGACAAATCACACTAACATAGAGTATTTGATATTTAAAAATTTATTTAATTGTGGTACATCCCGATAATGAGATATCATTCAGCGCTCAAAAGAAATGTGCTATTAGGCTAGGCGTGGTGGCTCACACCTGTAATCCCAGCACTTTGGGAGGCCAAGGTGGGCGGATCACTCAAGGCCAGGAGTTCGAGACCAGCCTGGCCAACATAGTGAAACCCTGTCTCTACTAAAAACACAAAAATTAGCCAGGCGTGGTGGTGGATGCCTGTAATCTCAGCTACTCAGGAGGCTAAGGCAGGAGAATCGCCTGAACCCAGGAGGCAGAGGTTGCAGTGAGCAGTGATCGTGCCACTGCATGCCAGCCCGGGTGACAGAACAAGTCTCTGCCTCAGAAAAAAATAAAGTAAAATAAAAAAGAGAAATGTATCAAGCCATGAAAGACATGGAAGATACTTAAATGAATATTACCAAATGAAAGATGCCAATCTGAAAGGACTATAGACTGTATAATTCCAACTGTATGACCTTCTAGAAATGGAAAACTATGGAGGAAAAAGATTAGTGTTTGCTAGGGGTTAGGAGTAGGGGTGGGGAAGATAAATAGGTGGACCACAGAGGATTTGGGGGGCAATGAAACTACTCTCTATGATACTATAACGGTGAGTGCCCAACATCAAAAGTGAACCCTAATGTAAACTATAGACTTTGGGTGATAATGCTGTGTCAGCATAGGTCTGTCAATTGTTACAAATTATACCAAACCGGTGTGAATGTTGACAGTGGGGGAGCTATGCATTGTGGGAGCAGGGAATATATGAGAAATGTTGGTACCTTCCACTTAATTTTGCTGCGAACCTAAAACTGCTCTAAAACATAACGTGTGTTAAAATAAAATAAATTTATATAATCTGCATACTGAAGCTAATCAATCTTCACAAAAACAATCTGGAATAAGAGGTCAGATCCATTCAAAGCTTTTAAGTTGAGCTGCTTGGTTATTGAAGTGAACCAGCCCATGTCTCCCCTGGTGACATCACCTAGTCAATGAGAAGCTGACAGCAACCAAGCTCAACCCCTTTCTTAGAAGTAGAGAATCATTTGTGATGGTTCTTCCAAGACAAAAGCCTCTTTGGCCTCTATCCCCTTACAAAAGTCTCTGGGGCAAGTTGAAGGTGCCACATAGATAGACTCTGACATGGGATCCAAGCTGCAGCTTCAGAGGGACCCTAGTGGGTAAAGGCTGGCAGTTACGTGACTGGGGTCCAAATGGGGTCAAGAAGAGGAGCTGGGGAGAGAGAATTACTCACCCAAAGTGCTGGGACTAAGAAGGTTTCAATCACCCATGAAAAAATCTGGACATTTCAATAATGAAACCTGAACTCTGCCTCCCACATCAGTGAGCATCTTGGCCTTCATCACACTAACAACTTTACTGCTCACAGGGCTTCCCTGGGAATGGGGGCCATTTCCAACTCATGACAGCCTTCGCTTCTATTCAGCCTCACCTCAGGCAGGGCCTGTGTGACTGCGAGTGAACAGGGCAGGGAGGTTCATCTTGTCCAAGGCCCTCTTTCTGGAGGGAAAATGCAGGGACAGGTCCATTAGGTGAGATGCCATCTTAATCCTAAGGCAGGCTTGCTGATAAACATCAGCAGGGCAAGCACTCTACATTGCTTTTCCCACAGTAGGTATGGGCGAATGGTGCTAAGCCCTCTTCTGAACACCCTTGTGACCAAGGGCCTGAGTTCACAGGCTGCTTGACCTGGACTGAGACCTGAGCTGGAGTTGAGAGAAGAGATGGGCGGCCTTGCCTCTGTTACAGGCTGTGGGGAAAGAATTCCATGGCTGTGGGCCTAGTTTCTGCATTCATAATAGAAAGGGGCTAGGCCAATTGATTGCCAAGGTCCTTCCTGGCTCTGATTTCCCCTACAGGCTTTATATCTGTATGTTAGATTCTCCACCTAGCCAGGGATCCAACACTAGGCACTGACACATTAGTCCAGTGATCTATCCAACAGAAACCAGCAACCATAGCTCAGGGCCAGGGAACCCCTGGCAGGAGACTCTGGCATGCCAAACCTCACTTATTCTCCCATTCTAGCCAGGTGAGCAAGCATGCCTTAGGTTGCAATCCAAAGTGGAACTACAACCTGAAGAGCTTATTCCCTCCTTTTTGTTTGCTCTAAGACACCTAGAGCAGCCCAGAGCAAGAGCCTTCCCTACACACAGCTGCAGCCCCTACCAAAATAACAGCTGCAACGGCCAGCAATGAATAGGGCCCTTCATGTGCCAGCCACCTTTCAGTGAAGGACTCATAATAACAAACACTTCTTGTACTTTGGCAACGTCTCAGCCAAATATCACAATAATGGCCAGGCTCTAGGCAATAGACAAGAAAAACTCCAATATCCTAGGGATACAATTCAATCTCAGCAGCCTTAAACAGACCAAGAAAAACAAGTTGTGCTCTTTCTGGGCTCTTGGTATTTACTTTTTCTGATGTTGAGTTTCATGATTCCCCTATCCATGGGTAGGAGCGGGGATGGAAAAAGCAACAATCCATTTTTCCATATTGATAATGCATAAGCTAGCTGAGATTTCTAAAGCTTCTACAATTTTTCATTTCTTCTTCCCGCCAAAGCTTACCCAGAAGTTTCCCTTAATGAGAATTTCCTCTGTTTCATTTAGAGTATGATGTTCGACTTGGAAACCTGGAAGCCAGCCCTTTTCAGACTGGCCTTTGCTCATCAGGGAAGTCTCCCATACCACAGTCAGTTATGTACATAAGACAGAGTAGTACTCACCTTGGTGGTATAAAATTAAAGACTAAATGAAGGAAGCAACAGACTTCAAAAGAAAAGCTATCCCCTCCACAAAGGAAGGAGATGAGAACAAGAATCCATGGAACAGCCCGGATCACTTTCCTTTTGTCATTAGTGAGCCCCTGAGGACGGATTCCTGTTTGACGTGGAGCCTGTACTTTTGACAAAGTCCCTGAACATGACCCTTAAATTGATTTTAAATCCCTCTTCAGAAGAAACTGAAATGATAAAACACACAGCATCTTTTAAAGACCATCTGCCAGAAACCACCCAACAGATGGGGGCTTAAAACTCTGTTAGCCTGAGGCCTGCCAGTCTTTGTTTAAACTTTAAGAGAACTGCAGGTGTTAAATGGGCCCCAGGTTTGCAGGCTTCTTTAGGGCACAGGTTCTAATGAGGATTCTATGAGAATTGCTAGACAATTGGATCAGGACAGGCCTGCAAGGCTCCAACCAAGCCCATTTTATGGTTCACATGGAGGTCTCGAGATACATAAAATCTCCCTCTGAAATAAAAAAAAAAATGCTTAGACCATGTTTTTTTTTTCTTTAATTGAAAAGTTGCAAAGAAGGCTCTCAGAGAACATTGGGTTTCCATGCCACTGCATGCAAAACTTAGGCCTACAATGCAAAATACCTAAATCTTGCAACTTTTCCTATTTTCATATTAGTTTCCTACATGACCTTGGGACTAGCAGATGCCTTAGGGAGTATTTAATCCAAACTCACCACACACAGGAGGAAACTGAGGCCCCACAGGAGGAGCTACTTGCCTAAGACTTTGCAGGATGTTAGTGGAAGAAATAAGATCCCACTATGGTACAGTGTCCTTCCTAATATCTCTGCTACTCTGGGTCTACAGTGGTGGGAGAGACACTATGGCAGGGGGTGGGTTGGAGAAAGACAAAGAAGTGTGCTATTCTAGTTATCTGTTGCTGTGTAGCAAACAACCCCAATACTTAGGGCTTAAAACAATGACAGCATTTATTTTGCTCACAAATCTTCAGCTTGGGCAAGGCTTGGTTGGGGCAGCTTGTCTCTGGTCAACTCTAGCTCGCTTGGGTCATTCAAAGGCTGGGGGCTGGAATCATCTGAAGGCTCATTCACTCACATATCTGGTGGGTGATTCTGACTTTTTTTTAATTAACTGACTTTTCTGGGAAATTATTTTATTGATTGATTGATTGAGACAGAGTCTCTCTCTGTCACCCAGGCCAGAGTGCAGTGTTTCAATCACAGCTCATGGCAGCCTCGACCTTCTGAGCTGATGCTGACTCTTGGCTGGGATCTCACCTGGGGCTTTAGCCGGAACATCATCTGTAAGAGGCCTTTCCATGTGGCCACTTGGCTTTTTTACAACACGGTTTCAAGATGGGGGGTACCGAGAGAGAGAGCAGATGGAAGCTGTATTAGCTTTTCCAACGCAACCTCAGAACTCATCCAGTGTCACTTCCACTGCATTCTACTCATCAGGCATGAGTGACCCAGGCAAGTCCATTTTCAAGGAGAAGGGAATTCGACTCTATTTTTGAATGGAAGGGGTGTCAAAGAATTTGTGGACCTGTTTTAAAGCCACCACGTATGCCAAAGATGTCTTTTTCTACCACATGGGTTAGAAAGTGAGGAATCGATTTTCACTGTTTTAAATACACAGCCCCACAGGAAAGTGTGCTTTACTCTGTGCCTACCATATACTAGGCACTAGACTGAATGGTTTGTATGGCTATTTCATTTCAGTTTCAATCCTGACAACAGCAGTCACACTCACATTTTACCGAAGAAGAAACTGAGACTCAGAGATCATCTAATTTGCCTAAACTCACTGAATTAGGAAGTGGTTGAGGTAGATTTTATCCCAGATCTGGACTGAAGGCTCACTCTCTTTTCATAACTTCCTGCAACTTCCTGCCAGCTTCCACTGAGGTGGGAAACTGTATCCCTGCTGGTACAACACCCCTGAAAATGCTGGGCTCTAGAGAAGTTTGATATAAATGAACCCTCCACCATATATAATAAAATGAGCAAAACCTTCCCTCCCAGTTGCTGGCAAGGTCTACTTCTTGTACAGATGAGAAGAAAGCTGGGGCTCTCAATTTGTTTGGAGTACTCCTGGTGAAATCGTGTCTACCTTATGCACTAATGAAAGGATCAGTGGTTCTTTGCCTGACACAATCTTTTTCATCCTTTGGACCCAGCTTAAATGTCACCTGCTCAAAAAGTCCTTCTCAGATTATCCTATCAAAGTAGGTCCCCGCTTAGCAGCATGTCCCATCACTGCCCATGGTTTGCCTCCTTCCTGGCATGTATCCCAACCAATAATTACACACGGGCTTAGTCACTTGCTTATTGTCTGACTGCTACCATAGTGCCTGGCAGAGAGTAGGTGCTAAATAAATATTTGTTGGATGGACAAATGACTGAATGAGGGAATGATCCTAGACTGTAAAAACCCTGAGATCTGTAGAGCTTCTACTTTTTACCTCAGAATGCTAGGACCACAGGTCCACACTCTCAAGCCCCACTATGGAAAAATCAGGTATAATAATAGCAATCTTAATGAGGCACTTAAGTATAAATCAGGTACTTTTCCATCCCCTTATGATTATTATCTCACTGTTCCTTACAACAACCCTGTGACATAGGTATTACAATTATTCCCACTTTACAGATGAGGAAACTGAGGTTCAGAGAAGATACGTAACTTGCCCTAAGCTAACACCACTAGAAAGAAGCAAAACTAAAGGTTCTTACTGAGATCTGTTTGACTCCACAGCCTGCTCTATCGGCTATTAGGCAATACTGCCAACTATGGGTTTCTTTAAAGTTTTGATTAAAAAAAATTAAAATGTAGCTAGAGATCAGTTTTAAACAATTAATTTTTATGGAAAATGACAATTGCTTACTTGACTCTCTGACAACACATTACTAACACAAAGGACTGTTTGGACTAGGTCCATGCATGCTGGTGACAGGTACCCAAATTATAGGATCAGCATTTGTGAGCCTCTTGAATCTTCAGAATACAAATAGGGAATGGTGCAACAAAGTTTGGCTTTGCTTGAACTCTTTAAATAAGAGGGTGACTTGATCTAAATTATTCTAAGTTCTCAGTTTTCTACCCAGGCATAGGGTTTAATGTAGCACGTGGCTCTCATGCCACCTCCAGCATTTCCCTTAGTTGTGGGTTGTGATATGGTTTAGGTAACTTAGAGAAAGGTTAATGAGAAACCTGACATTTTCTGGGATTCACTGAAACTCTAGGTCCTTAGTCCAGTTTGGGGAGGAAAGTGCCTGTAATTTTTCTTAGGTGCTACCTTTGAGATATCTGTTACATTCTAACTTTCATGTTTTCTATCAGTCCATTGTGTTTGAACCATATGCCTAGTGTCTTTTCACCTGGGAGAGAAAATTAGAAAGGCAAATGCAAGCCATTCTACTCATAATGTTTGTGCAGAAACATGACGAAATAAGCCATGAGGATGTTATGCTAAAAGAAACCACAGTCCCTGAGATGAATCTCACACAGCCCTCTATTCCTCACAGAATCTCAAGGTTGGAAAGTACTGTAGGAAGCCACCAAGTCCAGGTCCCTTCTCAAAGCCCTTGGCAATGACATCTGACCTTTCCTTCACTAGTTCCAAGTGTGTGTGTTTGTTGAGTGGGGGAGGTCACTCTATTTCATGAGTGGCCAGTGCTGACTGATGGAAAAGCCCTCCTCAATTAAAACTCCAGCTTGACCTCTCTCAAACTGTCCTATGGAAAACTAGAGGGAAAACAGCCCATTTCTTCTCCTCTAATCAGGGCTTTATTCACAACAATATGTTCCAACTAGTCTGAAAGTTTACAAACTTATCTTTGAAACAGGTGCTCTTAAGAAAGATCATTTTCATATTCAAATCTAAAAACAAATTTCAGAAACAATTGTCTACAGGTAGGAGACATTAAAAAATAATTGTTTAATGAATGAATGAATGAGTTTACTCACACCAATAAAAATGGAAGTTTCCTTTACTATTGAGTTACCATCAGGATACATCGGTTTTGGAGTGACAGGAGGAGAGCATCTCTTGGACCTCAGAGAGGGGCTGATGTCTCTGTCTCCCTTCCCACCCCATCCTGGGAGACAGGTAGAAGCATCAGTTTACATTTTTATCCCCTCAATGTCCAGCACAGGACCTAGCACAGAGTGAATGCTCAATAAATACTCCAAAGAATTTCCAGTAATGGAAAGAGCCCCAGAGACCATTTGGCCCAATCATTTTCCTCCCAGAAATATAAAAGAGAAACAAGTCAGTAATTTCTTGTGGGTTCCTAGAAAGCCCCTCCCCCACCACCAAATCCAATACCTTTTCATCTGCTTTTGATGCCTAAAGTTCCTTTGATGGAAGTCTAGAGCCTGTCATGGCACACATTGTCAAGCTTTCCCTTCTAAAGTGGCAAGGTCCAAAGGAAAGATAAATTAACCTCAACTCACACTAAGGTATAAAGGACAGTGGGCAGACCTTTCTGGAAAGCTACATAAAACTAACTAGCAACGAAAGAATGAGTCATGTGAATCCTAAATCTCTGCTTCTCTGAGCTAGGTATCATCTAAGCTGATGAGATTGCCTACCTGTCTCCTCTGGGAAAACAAAAAAGCAGTTTGGAAGGGCGGTCAAGTGGACTTCCCTTCTTAAAGGGGTTGCAAGACCCACAACAAGAGATCCACATGGTGCCTTTGATGTGACACTCGTTAGGTGTGGATCAGCTCTCCAGTGCTTTGCAAAGACATCTGTTACCCTGTTAATCACATCCTGGACAAGCTCCAGGATGTCTGAGTCAGGACCCATGGGACACTAGTACTTTTTTAAGAGCCCTTGGTCTACCCTAGAATGACACTTTCTACTCAAGGGTGTGTTGACTAAACTATGAATCAGCAGCCCACACATAGCAAGTGCTCTAAGCATATGGCCCTTGGCAATGCTTCTCAAATGTTAATGTGTGTATGAATCACCTGGTGATCATATTGGAAATGCAGGTTCTGATTAAGTGTCTGGGGTGGAGCCTAAAATTCTGCATCTCTAACAAGCTCCCAGGTGATGAACATGCCGCTGGTCAAACACTATACATTGAATAGGAAGGTTATTTCTAAAATTCACTGGGTGAAAGAAGCCCGTGGGAAGCATGTTGAACAGACACAATCCCAGGTCACCAACCTCAAAGGTTTTGATTCAGAAAAACTGAAATGGGACCATAGTGTATACATATTTAATAGGTATCCCTCAGTGATTCAGAAGAAGGCGCTTAGTCGATGGTACTTTAAGAGATACTAACATATCACTTTTTTTTTTTGAATCACAGTCTCACTCTGTCACCCAGGCTGGAATGCAGTGGCACGATCAAGGCTCACTGCAACCTCTGCCTCCTGGGTTCAAGCGATTCTCGTGCCTCAGCCTCCCAAGTAGTTGGGATTACAGTCGCGAGCCATTACTCCTGGCTAATTTTTGTATTTTTAGTAGAGATGGGGTTTTGCCATGTTGGCCAGCTGGTCTTGAACCCCTGACCTCAAGTGATCCACCTGCCTTGGCCTCCCAAAGTAAGAGATACTAACATATCTCTTGAATGATCATACTGAAGGTGTGTCCTCTGGCCTGTTACAGAAGAGAAATACCTGACATCCACGCCTCCTGACCACTTAGGACAGTGACTGTCAAACTCCAAGGCACATCAAAGTCACCTGGAGGGCTTATTAAAGCTCAAAGAGCTGCCCTCAGTCCCCAGGGTTTCTGATTCAGTAGGTCTGGGGTGGAGCCCAAGAATTCACATTGCTAACCAGTTTTCCAGGAAATGCTAACATTGGTGGTTTGGAGGTCATGCTCTGAGAACCTGTGATATAGATGAAAGGTAACCTTTTAAAAATCACCAGAGGAGCTTTTCAACCCACACTCATTATGAAATGCTTGGGGACACCAACCTATGTCTTTTACAAACAGCACTTCAGTTGCTAAGCACCCACTCAGAGAACAAATACTCCAAAGGAAAGGCCCCTTAATCCTGAATAGATAATAGTTTTAAATAAATATTCTTAGGACCCCAGAGAGACATGTGGGACTGCTGACCAACTAGACCCAGGGGTCTCAGACAGGGAAGACCTCAGGCCCAAACCCAAGGAAAGGCCTAACAGTTGCTGAGCAGGAGGGAAGCTGCTCCATAGGGCGGTGGGCCCATCGTTCTCAGTCCCCAAAGCAAAGGAGGTCATGGCTCCCCCACAGCCCACAGCATCTCCAACCCCCTGAGCCCAGCCATTTATTAGCCCACATAAGGCAACTTCAGTTTAGCCGAACAGCTTATCTATAATATATGGAAACTAGAGAGACACTTGTTCATTGAGATCTTCCCCAA
Organism: Homo sapiens; assembly: GCF_000001405.40. Taxonomy (NCBI): domain Eukaryota; kingdom Metazoa; phylum Chordata; class Mammalia; order Primates; family Hominidae; genus Homo; species Homo sapiens. Next base: position 29,749,814 of record NC_000002.12, read on the forward strand.
ATTTATCAAGACAGGGAGAGAAGAAATGAGTTGAGTCTTCCTGTTCCACGGAATAGGAACACATTCTACCTGGACCTATGGTAATCAGAAGTGCAGTGCTCCTCCCCTAAAACACTCCAGACCCTTGAAAGCAGGTTCATGTCATTATCTCAAGAGCAGCATTAGCCAGGAAGGCTAATGAGGGCTCCCTGCCAGGAAGGAACAGCCTAGAGATGCATTTCAGGAAAGAGGCAGCAGGCAGAGAACAGCTGCCCCAGACAGACAGCACATCCGCCGAGGGCATGATTGCATGGGACTCGAGAAGTATAGTAATGCATTGCTTAACGATGGGGATTTGTTCTAAGAAATGCATCATTAGATGATTTCATCACAGTGTGAACATCACAGAGTGCATTTACACAAACCTAGATGGTAGCCTACTATATGCCTAGGCTATATGGTATAGCCTATCGATCCCAGGCCACAAACCAGGCCACAGTACAGCATGTTACTGTACTGAATACTGTAGACAACTGTATAACAATGGTATTTGTGACCTAAACATATTAAAATATAGAAAAGGTACTAAGCTGGGCAGAGTGGCTCATGCTTATAATTCAAGAACCTTTGGAGGCCAAGGTGGGAGGACTCCTTGAGCCCAGGAGTTTGAGAACAGCCTGGGCAACATAGTGAGACCCCATCTCTACAATAAATTAAAAAATTAGCTGGGCATGGTGGCATATGCCTGTAGTCCCAGCTACTTGGGAGGCTGAAGTGGGAAGATTGCTTGAGGTCAGGTTGATTGCTTGAGTGGAGTGGAGTGTAACGGAACAGAATGGGAAGGAAGGAAGGAAGGAAGGAAGGAAGGAAGGAAGGAAGGAAGGAAGGAAGGAAGGAAGGAAGGAAGGCAGGCAGGCAGGAAGGAAGGAAGGAAGGAAGAAAGGGAGGGAGGGAGGGAAAGAGAGAAAGAGAAAGAAAGAGAATGACAGAGGCCGGGCGTGGTGGCTTGTGGCTCATGCCTGTAATCCCAGCATTTTGGGAGGCCAAGGTGGGTGGATCATGAGGTCAGGAGTTCGAGACCAGCCTGGCCAGCATGGTGAAACCCCATCTCTACTAAAAATACAAAAATTAGCAGGGCATGGTGGCCTGCGCCAGTAGTCCCAGCTACTCCAGCGGCTGAGGCAGGAGAATCGCTTGAAGCCAGGAGGCAGAGGTTGCAGTAAGCCGACACTGAGCCACTGCACCCCAGCCTGGGCAACAGAGCAAGACTCCATCTCAAAAGGAAGGGGAGGAGAGGGGAGGGAAAAGAGAAGAAAGAAAGGTTACAGTAAACATTAAAGATAATAAATGGTACACCTGTATAGGGCATTTACCACGAATGAAGCTTGCCTGGACTGAAAGTTGCTTTGGGTGAGTCAGTAAGGAGTGGTGAGTGAGGGTGGCCTAGGACATTACTGTACACTCCTGTACATTTTAGAAACACTGTACACTTAAGCTACACTAAATTTATTTTAAAAAAATTAATTGTGCTAGGACATTACGATGGCTATGACTTCAGCACGCGATAGGAATTTTTCAGCTTCCTTATAAAGCTTATGAGACCGCTGATGTATGTGCAGTCCTTCATTGCCTGAAATGTTGTTATGTGGCCCGTGACTAGTTTGATTTGGGTTCTGCCTGCCCCATGGTCTCGGGGATGGGAAAGGCGTTGAGTTGTGTGTTTATGGAGTGTGAGCATCTCAGCTTCTTGTAATCCCAAGTAATAACTGCACTTTCTGTTCCTCTTGCCTTCTGCTACTCTGAGTTAATGAATAACACCAGGTAACTAGTTTCTGAGGCAGCCTAGGATCCCAATTCTCAGGTTCCTGCTTGTATGAAGCACCATTTTACCGAAACTTAGGGACAATTCTGAGGCAGTGACCACCTTTCATGAGGTGACATGTTGCCAGGCACAGTAGAAGCAAAGCAAGTGTCCACCACGTCTTCATGTTCTAGATTTTTAGGGACAGTTCCCAGCTCAAGTATTCTGTCCTCTTGTTCAACCAATAAGTACTAATTAGTGGTGATGAAAATATACATAAACCCTAGAGATACTGGTTAAGGATGACTATAAAACAACAATGATGATAATTGTAGCTAACATTTTTGAGACCGGAGTGGTAGAGGTATTATCCCCATTTTAGAGGTAAGGAAATAGAGGCTCAGGAAGCTAAGATAATAGCACAAAGCTAACATCATCTAACCTGAGTCTGTCTGTCATCAAAGACCTTACCTGTACTCTACAAAGACGTTCTGAACTTATGATGGCATAACTTAATGATCTTCTGACTTTATGATGGTGCAAAAGCTATGTGCATTCAGTAGAAACCATATTTTAAATTTTGCCTTTTTTTGTTTATTTTTATTATTATAAAATAGGCATTGTGTTAGATGAGTTTGCCCAACTATAAACTTGTGTAAGTGTTCCGAGCACGTTTAAGGTAGGCTAGGCTAGGCTATGATGTTTGGTAGCTTACGTGTATTCAATGCATTTGTGACTTCTGCTATTTTCTTTTCTTTTTTTTTTTTTTTTTTTGAGACGGAGTTTCGCTCTGTCGCCCAGGCTGGAGTGCAGTGGCGCGATCTCGACTCACTGCAAGCTCCGCCTCCCGGGTTCACGCCATTCTCCTGCCTCAGCCTCCTGTGTAGCTGGGACTACAGGCACGCGCCACCATGCCCGGCTAATTTTTGTATTTTTAGTAGAGACGGGGTTTCACCGTGTTAGCCAGGATGGTCTCGATCTCCTGACCTCGTGATCCGCCCGTCTCGGCCTCCCAAAGTGCTGGGATTACAGGCGTGAGCCACCGCGCCCGGCCGACTTCTGCTATTTTCAACTTACGATGGGTTCATCAGGATGTAACCTCATGCTAGCTCGAGGAGCTTCTATACCCTGTTGTTTCTGCTCTCACATCCTGTACTGACACTGCAGAATAGCCCTGAAGGTTCTCCTTCCTGGAAGAAGGAGCAACAGTCTTGTCATCTGAGCCAGCTCTGCCAAAACTGCTTTTCAAGGAGCGAAAGGACTCACCCAAGACTGAGACACACAAGATTTTGGACTGGTACAAGGGAAGGGGCTTTCCTGGATTGATGCCTACACTCTAGCAGCAGCAAGTACCCCAATCTTCAGACTCAGACCCAGCCCAGGGTCACAGGTTTATCTCCTTCACTAGGACCATTCAGGCTCATGTCTTCCTTGTCTCCACCCTGCTAACTGTCTACAAACTCAGAAAAGGCCTTTGAATGTCACACAGTTCTGCCCGTGGCAGAAACACACAGAAGGAGAAGAAAATAGGTGGGGAACTTCAGAATGTGCCATAAGATAGAAACTCCTCCAATGTTCCCAGCACTGAAGCATTAAAATAAAATCTTTGGACAATTATTTGCCTGGATCGAGAAAGTAAAGTCATTTTAGGAGCTGCCACTAATCTTAAAAAATAACAAGTGCGATTTGATCTGTGCAAGGAACCAGAGTGCTTGAAGATTTCTCTGCCGGAGGCTCCGCACTTTCATGAGGTATCGACAAAGACCCAAGGGTAAGTTACGGGGGGGAGCACGACCACTGTGAGCTTTTGCAGAAGTAGTAGGAACTGGCTAAGTTAAGATCAATGATTTCCTTGATTGCCTGGCTTCCCCCTCTCTTAAGCCTGGTCTCCGTCTCAATTTCCATTCCTATCGGCCAGAAAAATAAAGATTGTTTACAGAGCTGAAATAACACCTGCTTGGTTTATCTTATTTTAGAAACAATAAAAGCTAGGGAGTTGGAGGGATTAAGGAGGGAAAAAATCAATTGTGTTCTTTCATGTTGGAAACATTAAAAAATAAGTCACCCTGCTACCTGCTCTAAGGTCCAATTTGGCTCTCCATTACCCAGGGCAATTTCCAATTTCATCCTGCAATTTCCCAAAGTTTAAACTCGGCTGAACCATAACTGAATGCCCTTGACAGACTCCAAGAAACTTTTTCTGGTCAGTTTTTGACAATTCCAGGCCATGAATCTGATGCTAGACATGCCAAAAGAAATGGAAATGTTTGCTTTGGCATTAGCACCAAAATACAGTCAGCAGCCCGAGTCTGGCTGAATCATTTTGAATGTTTTTAAAATGTTTTACATCTTGTTATTTCACAGCATCTTTGTAAGAAAAGTAAAGCAGATTTGCTCCCTCTCCCACCGACCGCGCACTATACAGATGTGGATGTTGGAAAAAAAAAATCCAAACAACAAAAAGAGAGGAATTGGCTGGCCCCAAGCCACAAGGATAATAGATGGTTAAACTAGGTTAGAATCCAGGTTTTCTAACTCCTAAGGCAGTGCTCATTCTGTTCTGCTCTAGACCATGCACCTTTGCAGGATGCTGCCAGCCCAAACGCAGGAGTGATTGGGCTCATCAGATAAGAAAGCCACGTCCTCAAATCCAGGCTATCCAAGGGTGGCCACAGCAAGTTCAGCAGGATGCAGAATATAGCAGCCTTTCTCCCTGCCTGCATCTCCCCACAAAAGGAGCTTTGAAGGAGGACAGGGCAGTTTGAAGTGTGACCCCATCATACACTTCACGAACTAGCATACCATAGCCCCTGCTTGCCCTCACTGAGTTTAAGCATGATACCAGTCACTCCCTGACTCAGTCTCTTCATCTGTGATGAGGAATACCAAATATTCTACAGCAGTGTTCCAACATAGGGGGACTCCATCTCTACAAGAAATTAAAAAATTAATCAGATGTGGTGGTGCATGCCTGTGGTCCCAGCTACATAGGAGGCTGAAGTGGGAGGATCGCTTGAGTTTGGGAGCTTGCAGCTGCAGTGAGCCATGATCACACCACCACACTCCAGCCTGGGTGACAGAGCAAGACCCTGTCTCAAAATAATAATAATAATAATAATAAAGTAGAGCTCTAAACTTGTCTGGGAATAAGGACGGTTTTTAGGCTAACAATATTTGCCAATCCATACATGTTGGTATTTATACCTTAGTGGCCACTAATATTATTTCTCAGAAAAAAGTTCTAAATGAGTTTCTATTTTTCTACCTACAACAGCTTCTACATCCATTTGACAAATAGTAGTATAGAAGTGTTCAGGACAAAAATGTCTCTTGGTCTCAGGAGATGCCGGACGCCAGCATGGATGTGCAGATGGGAAGCCTCTTCTGGAAGACCCCCACCCCAGAGCCGGCAGGAAGCACCGTGATTCTGAGCTTGGTTGCCTGTGAAGGAATGCTTATAAAGTTTTTCCAACAGCAGCTTCTCTAAGGGTACCAACTCTGGGAGTGGGAGGCTGAAGTGACAGTAGGGGGTCAGTGAGGAACCCTCTGGGTTTCCTACAATAAGGCGATTTCACGCAGAAGCTGGCGACCAGCACTGCAGCCAGGGGACCAGCCCTCTTTAGTCAGAAACACCTCAACCCTGCACTCAAAGGGACTCATGGACTTGGAGTCCCTGCCGGTGAATGGCCCTGTGTGAGGGCCTGTGCTGCATCACAAAATGACTTTGCCAGGAAGCTCTAGAGTGTCAAACATCCACACATCCTTGGCTCTGGGCTGAGGAAAATCCCCTGGTTGGTGCTTTAAGAAGGAACCTTGCGGTTTTAGGGGAAGAATTCTCCACGGACCTATTTTACCACAGCACCTATTTCTGCAGACTATCTCAGGTAACCGGAATTTCAAAGGGCCCAGGATGGAAAACGTTAGCTTCAAGTCTTCCTTCTCTGGAATGGATTCCGCTGAGTAGAAGAAGGCTGGGTTTGAAGAGGGAGGAATGAGAGACAGGCTCACCATTCCGGGGTCCCCTGCATGTGCCAGGCAACAAACTGAGCACATTATATCCCTTCTAATTATCTTGTTTTTTACGAGGCACATATTAGTACCCACCTCCCCATTTTGTTAGTGGGGAGATTGAGGCTCATAGAGCTTGCCAATGAGAGGACACCCAGGGCTGACTCAAGGCTGTGCTGTTCCTGCGGGGCTGTCACTGCCAAACAGGGAGTGGCAAAAAAGAGTCGCAGCACCTCAAGCACCTGTGCCGCATCACCCATCCATCCATCAGTCTTCAGACCTGTCAGCTCAGCCCTTTCTGCCAGTGCTTAAATGAACTGAAAAGAATAACAAACCCAAGTTTTAATAAGTACATGCAAGGAGGCTGCCGTTGGCCCAGATGCACCTCAGTTGTGCTGATGTAAGCATCAAGCCAGAACACAAAAAGCCCGAGCACTGAGCGGGACTAATAGGTTTCTACACACAGTGGCAAGGAGCCCACATCCTTGGGCTCCCTGCACTCCTTTATGCTCCTTGAACATTCTGGGCCTACCCCGCCTCCAGGCCTTTGCACATGCAGTTCCCTTGGACTACAATTCTCTTCTTCCCCCTTTTCACTTGGCTAAATTGGTCTTGCTTCATGGCTCAGCTCAAAAGTCCATTTCCCGGGAGGACCTTCCGGACCTTTTAAATGCTCTCAAGACTCCCAGGACTTTTGTTAACAACTCTTTTCAGATTTTATACTTTGTCAGTCCTAAGTATCTGTGTCATATCTGCCTTCCCAGCTAGGTTGTAAACTCAGAAGGGGACAAGGACCCTGTCTGTTTATTCACTACCCTGTCTCAGCATGTAGTCAATCCTCTATATACTGTGTTGATGTCTTTATAACTATTTCCATGACTCTGAAGCAAGCCCCTTAGCAAAGTACAGTAGATCATTTACTCATTGATTTTTTTTTTTTTTTTTGAGACAGAGTCTCACTCACTCTGTTGCCCAGGCTGGCATGCAGTGGCACGATCTCGGCTCACTGCAATCTCTGCCTCCCGGCAGATTCTCCTGCCTCAGCCTCCTGAGTAGTTGGGATTACAGGCACGCACCACCACGACTGGCTAATTATTGTATTTTTAGTAGAGACAGGGTTTCACCATGTTAGCCAGGCTTGTCTTGAAATCCTGGCCTCAAGTGATCCACCCGCCTCAGCCTTTCAAAGTGCTGGGATTACAGGCATGAGCCACCGCACCTGGCCCATTTATTCTTCAAATATGTGCCAGTCACTGTGCTAGGGATTAGGAACATTACAGAGAACAAGATCACTAAGACTCTCACTCCAGGAAGCTGGCATTGCCGTGGGAGAGCAGACCATGAGCAAATAACACAGATAAACAGTATCAGGGAGAGGTAAATGCTGTGATGACAGAGGAAAGCAGAAAGGGGGCTAGAGAGAGAGCAGGAAAGGCCTTTCCAGGAGTTACAGTTGAGCAGGATCCTTTGTGCATTGAGGCAGTGAGCTCTGTAGGCTAGTAGAAAGAAAAGTGTTCTAGGCATAGGGTGCCATGGGTGCAAAGCCTTTAAGGCAGTGTCCAGGAATGGCCAGAAGACCACAATAGCTATAGTGAAATGTGGAAACTGGGGAGCAGCAGGAGGAAAAGCCAGACGGGCATCTTGGAGCAGGTGATATAGTAACAGCTGGTACTCCTGATCTCTTACTACATGCCACATACTGTTCCAGGTGCCCTAGAGGACACCATCACCCCCATTTTGCAGTTGACAAAGCCGAGGCATGGAAAGGTTAACCACTCACCCAGTTATATGAGTGGCGGAGCTGAGATACGAACCCAGGCAGTGTGATCCAGAGCTCATACTCCTGCTATACCACCCTTTCATGTCCTGTAAGGAAGGTTACCAAGTAAAATACAAAATGTCTAGTTTTATTTGAATTTCAGATAAAAAGCAAGTCATTTTTTCATATAAGTATATCCTAAATATTGTGCAAGCATCTTGTTTTTGTTTGTTTGTGTGTGTGTGTGTGTGTGTGTGTGTAATCTGCCAATGCCACTAGTAAGCCATAATAAACTTTGGATTTTGTCTAAATGTGGTGGGAATCCACTAGAGCAGAGGTCAGCAAACATTTTTCTGTAAAGGGCAAGACAGTAAATATTTTGTGCCATATAAGAATATGGCACATGCAGCCTCTGTGGCATATTCTGGTTTGGTTTTGGTTGCTGTTGTTTGTTTATACCAGCCTTTTGAAAATGTAAGAATCATTCTTAGCCACACATCACACCAGCTGCAGTTTCTGACCCCTGATCTAAAGGATTTTGAGTAGTAGACAGACAGACATGATCTCACTCAGGCCTTCATTCTTTTCATGAGGGAAAACACACCCATTCCCAAGAGATGATATTCACACCTTACCCGCATCCTCTTTTTTTTTTTTTTTTTTTTTTTGAGACAGAGTCTCACTCTGTCATCAAGGCTGGAGTGTAGTGGCCTGATCTTGGCTCACTGCAACCTCTGCCTCTTGGGCTCAAGTGATTCTCCTGCCTCAGCCTCTGGAGTAGCTAGGACCACAGGCATGTGCCACCATACCTGGCTAATTTTTTGTCTTTTTAGTAGAGACAGGGTTTTGCTATGTTGGCCAGGCTGGTCTCAAACTCCTCCTCAAGTGATCTGCCTGCCTCAGCCTCTCAAGGTGTTGTGCCCAGCCCCACGTACTCTTATTTGGGGAGCACTGGGGGTGGCTGTGACTTTCCCATCAGGTAGAGGAACAGCTGCCTGCTGGCCTTGGTGTTAGGACTCACTTTAGCATTAAGGTTCAACCATGGCACCTCATTGACAAGCCACTGGTTAAACCTTTTCTCAGTGCCAGGCTTGGCCTACTTGTGTCTGGGATGGTGATTTGACTCCAGGGTTTCACTGCCCATGGGATGTATCAGAGATGAACAGGATTTGTACCTTGTAGACCAAGTTCCCTTGGCCTACTTTCTGGATCTCATCCCTTTCTGCATTGAATACAGGCACCTGGCCCTCTCCTTGGCTCCCTCCTCGGCTCCCTCCTCCCTCCCCAGGCACTGCTCAGGCCTTATTCATCATTTGTCTCCATGGGTGACCTCCTTTCTGGCCTCTTCCTGCTTTTTTCTCTCATTCTTCTTCTTCAATTAAAAAGGCTTTAGCCAAAATGAATTCCTACCTCTGTCAGGCCTTCAAATTCCTGTTTTCTGGACATTTCAGATTTGCCTTGAAGAGTGTGTAAGACAAAGCCTGTTCTCCTTTCATTCTCACCATGTCTTACTGGGGCCCTTTATACACAGCCACCTCTCACTGCCTCTTTATAGGGTCGGTGTTTCCTGTCCAACAATTTGCCTTCTCTGGGAATACAGGCTAAATCTTGCTTTTTTTTTCTGCAATCCACAATCCACACTTCACTTTGGACATAATGAAGACACAAGAATATAAGAATATTTATTAAACGCAGTTCTTCCATTTTTCCCATCTCTTTTCTGTGTGTGTAAGCTGTCTCCTCCCTGCTTGTCAGTCTCTCCTCTTGTCTGAAGTTAACCAGTTGGAATGCAAGTCTGCAAGATGGTCACACAAGACCTTTTTCTTCATTATTGTACTTTCCTATTCCTTGAGAATATTCATCATCTTTCACCTAACTGAGGTTTTCTGTCTGCCTTTCCGTTTAGTCAACTAAGTGGGCAAGTTAGCTAACTGTATGTTGGCTTGTATACAGGAAATGGCAAGTAATAATAAAACAGTCAAGCAATACCATTGACTGAGACCTCCATGAGGTACTAAGGAAGTTTGAGAGAAATCAAAGATCCCTGGGCATGCAAGTGCATGTGTGTGTGCATGTGTGCGTGCGTGCGTGTGTGCAAAAGTAAGTGGAGAGTGGAGAAAGAGGAATGTCACTTTGATTTAGCCTTCTAGGGACAGGATACAGTGCAGGAATCTTTCCCTTGACATGCTTTCTGGGAAATTTCCAATGTCTGGCTTTGACCACTCTGGCTGTTTTAAATCAGAAACACTCTTTGGCCTTTGAATAGGTTTCAAAATCATCACAAGAGAGATGTCCATGATTTCTCTCTTTTTGTCTATATTCCAGTCCTTTGGGTTGCATGATCTTGTGAAATTTGTAGCCAGCGAAACCCAGTAGTGATAGGCACCATGATGAACAGGTCTGAGTATTTATTTAACACTGAAGATTAATAGGTCACTGCTTCCAACGTCGAAAGCCATTGTCACATTAATTCATTTGTGCATACATGATGTCCACTGCTCCTAAGGGTACAAATAATAGCTTTGCCAATATGAAAGCAAAACATAATTACTCAACAATAAACACACTGTACACTGGGAACAGCTGTTATCAACAGCACTTTTGAAGCCAAAACAAAGCAAGTATTACAGGATTTTTTTTAAACCTCTGCCTATCATTCTCACAGAGGTAAAGTTAGTTTTGTTTGTTTGGTTTTGTCACAACAAGTGCAACTAAGCTACAAGTACTTTACTCAGACACCATTCTGCCCTCGCTTTCAGGCCAGACAAGATGCTTGGCAACATTTTTGTCTAGCCAGTGCCCCCCTACACACCCACACATCCCTACACACCTACACACCCCTACACACACACACATCCCTATATACACACTTCCTTTTCCTGATGCTCAGCCTATCTGTAGAGTCTGTTGGACTGAGTGGGTGGGACTTCTGGTGCCAACACTTACTAACTGGGCAACTCCAGGCAAGCTATTTAACCCTCTCGGCCGCAGCTTCTTCATTTGTAATATGGCTGATAATAATAGTACTTACATTCTTATAGAGTGATAATGAAGTGAGAAAATGCATTTAAGAGTCCTAGTTACTATACCAGATACATAGTAAGTGCTTGATAAGTGCAAATATCATTGGCTAAGCTCCTCCAGTGTAGAACCTCACTAAGGTCCACCCTTCCCAGGGATGTTTCCAGTGCATTTCCATGTCAAAATGGACCCATCAGACTCCATTAAGCCCCAATCTTTGCTAACTAGTTGATCAATGACCTGGTCCAGGTGAGTACCAGGAAATTCACAAGTTATGCTGTCTGACTGGCAGGGTCTTTGACTCTTTTGCAAAGGGCTTACAGACATTATTGTTGGGATTACTACTAATTTTTATTTGGGGGTAGAGGGAGTATTTGAAACTCTGGAACCCAACCATGCAGAGAACTTTGCAGACAACTCAAAAACCTATAGTAAAACCAGGTCAGCTGTCCTCAACACACCTCAACATGCTCTGCCTCCATCCAAGAACTCTGAAAGAGCTTTTGGCTGTTTGCACACCTACATGCATCCAGAGTCTCATGGTTCTCCCCTACCCCTGCCCCTTCTGTCCCAAGGAAAGAAACAACTGCCTGGGGCTGTAGACTTCTCAGGAAGCTCTAATGAATCACTTCTGCAGTTCTGTTCATGCCTGCCTGGGGACATAGAGCCCCCTGCCCAGGGAGAACACAGCCCTTCTCTTGGAACCATGTTGTAGCAATGCAGAATCCAGCAGCTGCAGGGTTGACGTGGCCTTAGTAGCCCCCTACTCACTAACAGAGAATGAACTTAGGGAGTAGACAGGGGGCTTTGTTGCATTAGAACCAAGCAGCCCTCACAATGATGAGGTTCCATTTATAAATTTGGGACGTAGTAAAGTAGATAGGAAGAGTGAATAGGCTTTGAAGGCAGATAGATGTGGGCCCAGTTGCCAGTTTTTCCTGCCACTCTGTGATGTGGGACATATTCCTTGACCTTTGGAGCTTTGGCCTTCCTGTGTTAAATGGGAGCAATAGGATGATGAATATGCTCTGGCTGGAGGAGCAAACTCTCCTGAGGATTAGCTCTCCCCCTTCTCAGCTGAATCTTGAGGGCAGCATGACCTCGGGGAGTGTCAGAGTTATGTTCTTCCTGGAGATGTAAATCCTTTAAAAGCACAAAGGAAGAGTCTGCACTGGAAAGCAAAGCAAAATAGATTGGAAATGTTCAGTGGAATTTAAGCAAAGAATGCAGAGCTGCTCTCCTCTTCTGCTGTCTGCTGGGAACTCACTGGGGAGTCCCTCAGTGTCCACCCATTAAAGAGGCTGCTGAGCTTGTCTGTGGGCTCCACATAGCCATACGTAGATGACCCCATCTGCAAAATGGCTTGTCCTCTGTGAACAAGAGTCACCTCCTAGACAAAAACAGACTTCTGGATGGGGTGAGCAATCTCTCCCTTTGGGTTCCAGTAACGAGTCCAGAAGCTTAGAAGGACTCCAAGCCGGAGGCAAGGAGAATACAACGTATATTTGGTATCTAATTTAGATGGTTTATTTAAAAATCAGAAAGCATTCACCTCTATTCAAAAATGGCCCATTCTAGGTTAAATTCTTAATTATTCTGGAAAATGCAAATGAGAAACTATAAATATAGAGTAGGGGAATAATCGCAATCTGCACAATGTAAATTCAAGTCAATCGGTAAAGGGGGAAAGAAAATCATTTGCCTTTGACATTAAATCCAGCTGTTCTTTAAAGTTGGTTTTCCCTAGCCAAGGATTTTTATTCTCTATGACCAAACAATGTCCAAATCCCTCTGAGTTTAGACAATACTTAATCTGAACATCTAATAGTTCATTCTTCTCTAACACCACTGAACACTTCCATTAAACCAAAGTTATTATTATCAACATTATGAAGCCTGTCAGAAGCAGGCCCATTGTTCAAACGAATTGACCTCCACTACAATTGACCTTAACATTGTTCAACTGTTTGACAGTCAATTATCTCATGATCTCCCTTCAAATGGGTCTCGTTGCTGAAATAACTAATCCATTACAGAGGGGAGGTTATTTTAATAGCTGCGCAGAGGGTTGCGTTTTGCAGTCTCCCCGTGAGTATATATTGTGGAACAACTTGTAGCCCTTGGTCCATCTGACAAGAGGAAATCATTATACCAGATCCATGTCTCAGCAGAGGAAAAATATGATAATAAGGGGTTGGTAGGACTCAGTTATGGCTGAAGTGAAGTTAGCTCTTAAAATGTAGCAGCTCTTAGAGACATAGACATATGTGGCTCTGAACTACAGAACAGAAGAGGAAATGAGGATAAGGGAAGCTTAAGCAACCAGCTAAGATGTTGCAGCCATGCAAGGAGGTTAGAGGAGAGACTTTAAGTCCCTTTCTAGTTCCAAGCATCTATGGCAGGGCCTCTTTAAAAGAAAGGGATTGGCTGGGCGCAGTGGCTCACGACTGTAATCCCAGCACTTTGAGAGGCCGAGGCGGGCGGATCACGAGGTCAAGAGATAGAGACCATCCTGGCCAACATGGTGAAACCCCATCTCTACTAAAAATACAAAAATTAGCTGAGCGTGGTGATGTATGCCTATAGTCCTATCTACTCAGGAGGCTGAGGCAGGAGAATCGCTTGAACCAGGGAGGCGGAGGTTGCAGTGAGCCGAGATCGCGCCACTGCACTCGAGCCTAGGCGACAGAGTGAGACTCCATCTCAAAAAAAAAAAAAAAAAAAAAATAGGACTCTGAAGTCAGATGACCTGGGTATGGGTCTTGTGCCACCACTTTCTAGCTGTGTGACATTGGTCGAGTTGTAAACCTTTGCCAGACCTCAATTTCTTCATCTGTACAATGAGAATAATAGTATCTATCATGTAGGGTTGCTTTGAGGAGTACATGAAATGCATGGTATCAGTATAGAATGAGGCCCGTAGGTAGACACCTAAATAGCATTATTATAATCATTATAAATGCCAACATTCTCCTTCTAGTCACTTTGAGAGCTAGCTTTTTACCAGATATGTGACCTCTAAGGATCTTTCTGCCTGGATGGAGAACTTGGCATTTAGAACTGTAAGAATAAGGATTTTCTCAGTCCATGAATGAGGCCTAATAAAATAGGACAGTTAATAAAAATAACGAGTGCCTCATAAATCAGGAAATTAAGTGCTTCCCCATTAAACCAGGCTCAGCCCCCACATTTATGGGCCACTGGAGACCCAGCTGCCTCTTGAGGAGCTCATGCACCTCTGCTGAAGGGAAACTAGAGTGCCTGCCTGGCAGGTCACAGGCTATAGCGAGGATTGAGGGTGCTGTCCCGCTGCCCCTTTCCTATCAGCTTTGAGGGTAGTGCTCCACACTTAGTTATGATTTGTCTGAGGCCCCTGAGATTCCTGAAACCTTAACTCATGTCCCCTAACCCTAGGGCACTGAAAGGTGACTTGGCTCCTGTTCACACACAATAGAGCCCAGGCCAATAGAGGGAAATGCAGAGGGGAGGAGAAAGAAAGGGGTAGAGAAAGAAACAGCCTTCTTCAGGGCCCCACACCAACTTTCAGGGATCTTTGAAACTCCCTCTCGTAACACCCTGTTTATTCTGCTCTCACAGCCACCTGGGGAGGTGGAGATCACTATCTCCAAGACACAGGCAAGAGGACAAACCCTCAGAGACATCCTGTGACCTCCTGTGGTCACCCAGAACCAGAATCCAGATTTCCTTCAACCCTAACCCATTGTTACCAGTGCAGTCCCTATTTGGGGTCAATCCCCTCATGTTACCAGGATGCAATTCAAGGACCATGGCATTCATTACATGTGTCCAAGGGTCAGGCTGAGGCCCTGGGTTGACTGCAGGGCTGTCTGAGTAGAGCTCTCCAAGTGATTGTGGGGAGGGTGGGTCCAGCCAGAGAGGTGCCTGGGGGTGGTCCCTGAGTACCAAGTGGTCTAGTTGTATGCTGGATCCTCTCCTAGAGGCTCCCAAGACCCCATTGTCCTCACCTCATCCCAAGTTTGGTGACCACACTTACAGCTTAAAATTGGCCATGGTAGGAGTATTTACACCACAAATATCAGTGAACGTCCCAAATCAGGAAAATAGTTCTTCAACATTTACCGGCACACCACTGAGGAAGCCTCACCTTTTATTTCTTCATTCATCAAACATTCTTAGAGCACACACTTGGGGCCAGGCACTGTGAGAGTCACTACATATATGAAAATAATGGATCTTGCCTGCTTATGTTGTTCTGTCACTGGCTTAATATATCCCATTAGGGTGGGCAGGGACTCCCAAAAGCAAAGACATTCAAGTCCAGTCATTTTGGTTTATGTCATCAGCTTCAATAATAATAAGGTTGCAAGAGGATTTAAATTTAAGGTTGCTATATCATGTTAAAATCCTTGGATGCCCCATTTTCATGAAATCTGTTTCTGGTTGTCCTTCTGTTGGTTATTGATATGATTTGGATTTGTGTCCCCACCCAAATCTCATGTCAAACTGTAATTCCAAATGTTGGAGGTGGGACCTAGTTGGAGGTGATTGGATCAAGGGGGCAGATCTCCCGATGGTGCTGTTCTCATGCTAGTGAGTGAGTTCTCGTGAGATCTGGTGGTTTAGAAAGGTGGGTGGCACCTCCTTCTCTCTCTCTCTTGCTTCTGCTCTGGCCACATATGACGTGCCTGCTTCCCCTTTGCTTTCTGCTATGATTATAAGTTTCCTGAGGCCTCCCCAGAAGCAGAAGCCAATATGCTTCTTGTATATCCTGTAGAACTATGAGCCAATTAAACCTATTTTATTTATAAATTACCCACCCTCAGGTCTTTCTTCAAAGCAATGTGAGAATGGACTAATACAGTTCTGTGAAAGCATTGCCCAAGTATTCATTCTCCATGACTTTCTCACCTGAAAATGATCGAAAGTTTTGAAGTATATAGAGTGGCCTCTTATGGTAATTCTCCCCTTCCTTCATTTTCTCACTGCCCTATCCCAGCTTCTCATGAGCTCTCTCCAGGATTGTTGGATTAAGTGATCTCCTAATTGATACCTCTGCTCCCATCCCTCATCATGATGCTGCTATCAGAGTGAGCTTGCTTTTATTTTTCTTTTTATTTATTTTTTATTTTGCAGAAACAGGGTCCCACTACGTTGCCCAGGCTGGTCTCAAACTCGTGGGCTCAAGTGATCCTTTGGTCTCGTCCTCCCAAAATGCTGGGATTACAGGCATAAGCCACCATGCCTGGCGCTTTTAGAATAAAAAAAGAGTACCTTTTTTTTTAAATTTAAATTTAAAAATGCATGTCAATTTTAAAAACTTGGAAAATACAAATGAGCAAAGAAATAACCTCTAATCTCATCAACAAGTAGTGCTCAGGTTTTTCTCTTAATATTTATATATACACAGTGGTGGGCTGGGAGATGTTTAACAAGCTCTCTGTTTTTTTAAGCCCTTATTTGTAGTATTTGGCAATTTCCATAATAAATACTTCCACTTGGCTTATTTCATGCTACCAACATGATATCACTGAACATGGACTTGGAAAGAGATGCTAGCAAATCAGATCTTGCGAGCTTATGTGAGCTGGCTGCAGTGCACCACTGTAAAACTCATATATAATTTGAAGTGAAATGTGGAAATGCTTTGTCTTGCTTTGTAACACACTCTTTAAAGTCTTTTCATGCCAATGAATATATATCACTAATATAATTTTAATTAGCTGTACAGTATTTTGTTGTATCAATGCATAATTAACTCAACAGAATCCACATAAACATTATGATTTTTGCTGGTATAAACAATGCTATTATGAACATAATTACAAACAGATCTGTGTGGACACAGCAATAGTTCCAATTCAGAAATCTGGTTCTTGCCTCCTTCTTAAACATCTGGTATGGATCCTTTTGCACCACCACAAATCCCAACTCCTTCACGGGGTTGTTCAGAACCCTTCAGGCTGCTTAGGATCTTCCAGTCCTACAAGCCTGGCATTTATTCTTACACAGCATAGCTCCTTTCTCTCCCCCAGCCACCATGAATCACCCCATGTTCTCAATACAAACATATTTGCCTCACATATTTGAGTATTGACTCCCCAGTCTCTGAAACCTCCTTCTCTTCCCCACCACCTCCTGTTCATTCATCAAGACATACCCTAGGCAGTGAATATTTCCCCTGGGTCTCCCAGCATTGCACAGACACCTCTGTTATGGCATCTAAACAAATATCTGTGATCTAAATCTATGTTGATCTGTCTACTCAGCAGGACCATAACCCTTTGAGGATATGGTAAGAATGAGTCTTCCTCATCTTCATATGCATAGTAACTAGTATCAGGCCTGGAGCAAAGCTGAAGCTTAATAAATGATTGTTGAATATAATCCTTTATGTACTTTTCCACCTGCCATCCTCTGCATGATTTACTTTCTGACAGAAAGCATGAAAGTGTCCCTGACAGACCTGAAACCCATGTCCAGGAGAAAAGGAGACCAGTGCTGACAGCTTCTGAGTGTATCTCCTCACTTTCCCAGAGCCTGACCTCCAAAAGGCTCTTCTAGAAGCTGTGGAACACCCCAGCCTTCTGAGGCTCCACCTGGCCCCTCTCTGGAAAAACAGCAATCCAACCCAAAGAGGGCAGAGTTGACTTTCTTAACTCCAAAATCTCTTACAGTGACAATGACATCTAGTTTTGGCAATGTACTACAAAATAGGAACCACAGCTATTTATAACTTTTAATAGGACCTACTATGCACCAGGCACTGTGATCAGGAGTTTACATATAATTTTTACTTTTCATTTGATTCTCACAACAATCTGATGAAGTGTTCATTAGTAAGAAGATCAAGCTTAAACAGGCCAAGTTACTTGATCAAGGTCACACAACTTTTAACTCTGTCTCCCAATACCTTCCTAATGTTTACTGCAACTTTTTAAAGGCAGAGCAGGGATAAATGTCAAGAGATGGGGGCTCAGCAGGATAAATGACACAGTCAAGGTCAAATACCTAGAAAAGGAGATCATCCCAGTTTTCCCAGGACCGTTGTGATTTTAAAAATGAAAAATCTCATGTCCCAGGAAACCCATCAGTCCCTGGAAAACCAGGATGGCTGGTCATCCTATGAAGGCATAGAACTCAGGGCCTCTGGCTCCTGGCATAGTGCTCTTTCCATCACAAACATATGTCCTACTTTCTCACTTCATGGAGGGCCTAATGGAAGATACAGTCATTAGGATGCGTGTATTCATTTTCCCGGGCCCTTAGTGAAATAGGCATTTTGGAATCTGTTTGGGACATCAGTCACTCAGGCTCTCAAGAAGAGACAGACCCCAGCTGGACATGTTCTTTATAGTACACTCCAGTGATGAAATGCCCAGTTTCTCCCCTGCCTCCTCCCCCTGCCTGGCACACCTGGACTGCTGCCACTCATCTGTATAATGTGCCTGGCGCCATCTGGCCTGGCATCTTGTGTCCTGTCAACAGGGATGTCAAACAGGCAAGATGAAAGGACATAACTCCAAGGAACATTGTTTGTCTTCTAGCCCCAGTCTGGGGAAGTCGTGATGATTACTCATTAGGTAGCTACAAGGGAAGAAAAATGACTTGTTACTGTCCGGGTGACAGTTGGTGCCTAGAACAGTCTTTGCTATTTCTTGTCTTAGTGAGTCTTCTGGGGAGCATCCTAGGAGTTTCAAATGAAGGTGGATATCGGCTGGAGTATCCCAAGAGGCTCCCAGGGAATTTTCATGGCTTAGAGATCTGATGACAGCTGTGGCCACGTCGCTGGCTCTGCTTGCAGTGAGCATGCCCATCCTCTTTGTGAAAGTGGCAAACGGGACAATAAACAGATTTAGCAGAGCTGGAGCTCTAAAAAGCCCAATCCACATCTTCTATCTGAGCCAGCCTTAGAATTCTGGGTAAACGGGGGCCCAGTAAATGGTAATTAAACAACTTCAGGGAGAGCTGATGGCTTTTTGAGAAATAAACCTCCCCAGGGAATCCACCTCAGGAAATCTACTCAGTATACTTTCTTGGTATAAAGCAAGAAAACATTGCAAAGAAAGACAGATAGCCTTGATTGCATAAAAATCTAATACTAATTTCCATATGTCAGAAGATGTCAAAATACAAGTAAAAAAGGAAAATAATACACTGATGGAAAAGATACAACAAAGTTCCATTATATTGGTATATAAAGTTCTTAATTAAAAATGATAAATCTCAAAATATTAAAATGGACAAAATTTGACCAGGTAATTAAAATCAATAAAAAATAATTACTTGATATCTAAACTATAAGAGGAGGTATAGTTTAACAAAATTATAATTTTATTAAATTATATATGTCTGTGTGTGTGTGTGTGTGTGTGTGTGTGTGTATATATGTATATGTGCCTATAAGCAAATATTTATAATAAAATGTTAAAAGTGGTCTGGTTAACAGTAACTTTAAATTTTTTCTTTATCCTTTTTATCTTTTTTTTTTAAGACAGGGTCTCACTCTGTCACCCAGGCTGGAGTGCAGGAGCACAATCACAGCTCACTGCAGCCTTGACTTCCTGGGCTCAAGCGATCCTCCCGCCTCAGCTTCCCAAGTAGCTGTGACTACAGGTGCACACCACCATGCCCAGCTAATTTTTGCATTTTTTATACAGATAGGGTTTTATCATGTTACCTAGGCTGGTCTTGAACTGCTGGGCTCAAGTGATCCACCCACCTCGTCCTCCCAAAGTGCTGGGATTACAGGTGTGAGCCACAGCATCTGGCTAAATTTTTTCTTCATAGTTCTCTTTATCTCTCAAATTTCCCACATTGAGCTGGTATTACTTTTGAAATTATGAAACAGTATTTCCTATTAAAGAAGGCAAAGAAGTATATGGAAAGGGGTTGGAGTCTCTTGACTTCCATCTTTCCCCAGCCCTATTTTTCCCATCAGTCTGTAGAATGACGTGTCTCTTCATTTCTAGGCTGACTTTCACTTTTTTCTGTGTCTTTTTTCATGACAAATAGAGAGTAAGGAAAGCTCACGATTACAGCCATCACTTCTTTCTTTAGCCACCAAGATGTCAACAGGCAGAAGTTGGCTCCCTGTGGTTGGACAGGAGAAAACAGCACCCACCTATAAGCTCCTTGAGGGCACAGACGAGTGCACCAGTATCTGAGCCTCAGCACCTAGCCCCAGGCCTGGCTCGGCTACTGAACAGACCTCAGGGTAGTCACACTTCAGCACATAGTGATCTTCCCCTGCTGAGTACTGAGAACTATTAAGCATGTGGATGCATCGCTTCCTTCAGAGGTGTTCCCTCTTTAGAGGAGTGATCAGACAGATTTACAATGAACGATAACACAAAAACGTGACATGAAATAAATGTGCATCGAGATGCTACAGGAGGAAAGGGGGCATTAATGTGCAAGGGTAAAGAAAATAAGCAAGCAAACAACAGCAACAGCGGTTTAGATACTGGGCAGCAAATGGATGACTAGACTGATAGCCAATTGATTGAACAGTGATCAGAAAGCTGCATCCGCAACTGATAGTGTGGAGGCCTAGCAGCAGCCCTATTTTCCCAGAACTCCTAAAAAGGATTAGGCATTGATTGTGCTATCTCTAGGAGTGTTGGTGGGAGGGACGAGAAACTAAGCAAAGAAGCCTTGATGAAAGTTCATTCAAGAAGCAGCTGGATCCACAAATCCCCTTCCCATATCCAGCAAGAGACCAAAGGCTTCTTTACTATCTGGAATTGGAGAAATGGAGACTCCCGGTCCAGGGACACCAGGCACAGTTAGAGGAGGAGGGTAAACTACCAAGTGTAGGAAGGAGTGAGTTTTTGTATCCAAAATGCCGAGATCTCCAAACTCTTTCCCCATTGGATTGCCAGAATCATGGCCACTAGGCCTATACCTCTAAGCAGGTAACTAGGAGAGCTTTTCCAAGGGGATTTGAAAAGCTCAAAAGGAAAGACCTAAAGGTACTGACCACAAGATTCTCTAACAAAGTCGTCCAGTCACACCCTACACTGAAGCCTACAGATGACACGTCCCAACAACAAGCTCAGGGCTTCCAAACAGCATTCTAGTGTCCTACTCTTACTAAGAGCAGAAACTAGTGTTGACAGACATCTGAGGGAAATCTCTGAGTTTAAATATGGCAATCAAATCAAGCAAACGGGATAAAAGCAACCAAATAAGAATTATGTAAGAAAAACATTTTATATTCAGAATATATTTAATATGCTGAGAGATTTAAAAGAAGATAAATTACATTTGTGAAAACCAGAGCTGGATAATATAAAAAAATTATGATAGCAAAACAAGACTGGTGAAATTAAAAAGATTATAGTAGAAATGGGAAAAGTCAACAGAGGGTTATAAGATAAAGAGATAGAAAATAGGACAGGAAATATAAGAAAAGCAAATCACCAGTCCAGGATGCCCAGCATGTAAATAATGAGAGTGCCAGAAAGAGAACACGCACAGACACACAGTCACACACACAGTCTCACAGTCACACACATGCACACAGCCACACACACAGTCTCACACACAGTCACACACACGCAGTCACACACACATAGACACACAGAAACACACACATACACAAATACACAGACATACACAGAAACACAGACACACACATGCACACATACACAAATACACACAAACACAAACACATACATGCACACATACACAGACAAGCATTAACACAGACATGCACACATACACAGAAAAATACACACGTACACATACATGCACACATACATAGGCAAATACACACACAGACATAGATGCATACATACACAAATACACACATATATGCACACGTACACAAATACACACACACACAAAGGAGGAAAGAAAATTAACCACAAAACAATTCAAAAAAATGTCCCTAAACCAAAAGACTTGAATTTCTAGATTAAAGGAGTTCATACTGCAAGACAAATGAAATAAACTCAAACCATAACACAGTGTCATGAAATTTTAGAGTACATAGGACAAGTTCTAATCAAACAAGCTTCTAGACAGAGAAAGATAAAACATACCCCTTCCAAAGATGATGAGTCTGAATGGCTTTGAACTTCTCAATAGTAATACCAGAGACCAGAAAACAATGGAGTGATGTCTTCCAAAATCTGAAGGGCTATGACTTGCACCCTGGAATTCTTCTCTTTTTTTTTTGGGTTGGGGGAGCTGAGTCTCACTCTGTCGCCCAGGCTGGAGTGCAGTGTCACGATCTCGACTCACTGTAAGCTCCACCTCCCGGGTTCATACCATTCTCCTGCCTCAGCCTCCCGAGTAGCTGGGACTACAGGCGCCTGCCACCATGCCCCGCTAATTTTTTGTATTTTTAGTAGAGACGGGGTTTCACCGTGTTAGCCAGGATGGTCTCGATTGCCTGACCTCGTGATCCGCCCGCCTCGACCTCCCAAAGTGCTGGGATTACAGGCATGAGCCACTGCGCCCAGCCTGCACCCTGGAATTCTATACCCAGAGAAACTACCAAATATGAAGGTAAAATAATGGATTTGTCAGATAAGCAGGGCCTCAAATGTCTTATCTCCTCTGCACTCTTTCTCAGGAAGCTGACTGAGGAGGGGCTCCTTCAGTACCAGCCAGTACCATTTGGACACTAAAAGACAGAGGTCTAACCCACAGGGCAGCCAGATAAAGAGAATTCCCGAGATGAGGCAGATGGCAGGGCCCAGGATGCCAGAGGACAACCCACCCAGATGGGAGCAGGGAAGAGGGCTCCAGGAGAGATTTCTTGAAGATGAGATTGGTGGGATGGCAGAGGCTTCTGATACTTGGATTAGAAATACAGACAACTGGCAGAGTCTGAGGTTGACACAGTGATACAATCAGAGGAAACTAAGCTAATATAAAAGGACATAATATAATCTAAATGTAAATATCAAACAAAGCAAAACAAAAACAAAGCAAAACCTCTAGGGAAAATAAAAGATGGTTCATGAAAGGAAAAATAAAGGCTTAGTCATGAATATCATTTGCATTGCTATATAATATAAACACTGAATATTGATTTGAATGAAATTAAAATTTAGCTCTATTGGAAGAGTGAAGAGAAATTAAAGGCATGTCTTGGCACATATGCAGATGCAGGGGTGGGGTGGAGAATGCGAGTGGAGTGAACCAATTCCTCGCCTCCCACACTTCCTCACCATAGTGGGAATTCCATGGAAAGGGTTTAAAATGGCAAATCAAGAAACAGCAACACAAGTGTATTATTTACAGAAGTCTAGCTGTATGCCCCCCTAAAACAGCTGAAAGAGTTAAAGGGCGTCTCGCTGCTGAGAGGAGATGGAGGGTAAGGGGTAGAGGACTACTGTTTTTCACGACAAGCCTTATACACTATTTGCTTTTTTAAACAATGGGCATGTATAAAATTTGATAACATGTTAGAACTTAAAGAAAGAATGAATCTCAGTTCTTCAAGTGCCCCAGCCTCTTACAGGTCTTGATAATATTTTCCTACCTGGTCTCATGATCAAAGCAGAGGACTGGCTTACCATGCAACACAAGGACTTCTGTGTAGGGGGAATGACTTCTTCCTCCTCAGAACTCTAGGAAAATGGGATTTGTGGAACGACGTGCTGGAGTTCCCACATTTATCTTTGTTGTTTCACTGTTGTCTTGCTTGTCAATGTAAACAAAAACACCAACCAACATTGATGTTGGAACTATACTCATTTGTTAATTACAACCATATGTTGACTATTAATACAAATTTTGGTAAAATCAACAAAAGCATTCTGTGAGAATCCATTGGAATTTTCAAAAAAGAATATTTTATTATTTGTAAATTGTACACTACACATCTTTTCTATCAGTAAAATACACAGTAAATGTACACACACACACACACACACATTTTTTTCTTTTTAGAGAACTAGTTGTTCAACACTTACCAGCACACCAGTGTACCTATAAGCAATTGCTCAGGAATGAGGAATGAGAAATCCTATGTAGAAACAGAGAATTGGCCAAAACAATCTTTCAGGGGCCCTCTGTTCTAGGAAGTGACCTCTCTCTTCCCCTCTTTACTTGTTGCTACCAGGATAGAGGAAGTCTCTGCTTTTAGGTCTTTAAGTCTCAGGTCTGACTCGACTGACTTCAGTTTTGGTGAGTTTCCTCCAAGGACACTGGCACTGATGACCGCAAAGGGCAAAACTCATTAGATAATGATGAGTTTCTTTAGCATAAAGTTAAAGATTATTGATAACTGACAGAATCATTATTTTTCAGACAAATATAAGTAAAACATCCATCCATTGAGATGGATGATGGGAAAGACAACTGAAATATTTATGGCATTAAGTGCTAAATGCATTTTTGGCTGAATTTTGTTTCATCAACTTCCCTATGAAATTCTATTCTTTTTAAAACGCATCATAAAAAATAAGACTTCAAAGAGGAAGAGATTAATTTAGAATCGTGAAGGGAACAAGGAGAAGGAAGAGGATCTCTGAAGACGTCTTTAATGTGAAGGCTTCTTTCAAGAGAAGGTCTTAGAACTGGGATGGTGCCAGATTTATCAAAATCTTGAGAAAAACATAATTTGATAAGATAATATTCAATGGAGAGCTAGTCTGTTGTGGAAAAGTTCTAAAAGATATAAATAAGACCCTTGCCCATCGATGCTCAGAGCTGTTGCAGGCAAGGCACAGTGCTAACCAGAGCAGCTCACCTGTGCCTAATGCCACTTCCCAAAAACGGTCCAGGTTGGCATTTATATAATGCTATCTTTGGTGCTATTTACAAACAGGATGCTTAATTAGTGCTCATTAAATTTTTACAAATGACTGTCAGCTCATTCTCTCCCCCCTGTTGCTTTGAAACTCCCTGACTGACACATTTCTGACTGACAGGAACGTTAATCTCTGAGGCAACTTAATTCCAACCACCCTCCCCTGCCAAGACATCTGCAGACACTCACTCTAGAAGGACAAGAATCCACTGTGGGGTTGAAGCTGTGGGGCTTTCTTGTTCTCTGGTTCCCACATACCCACATCGTAATCATTCTGGGAACCCAGTGCTTTGACCTCCTATTGCCATACCATGTTACAGTTTACTAAGTGCTCTGACATACATCTCTGTTTTGAGCCTCTCAACAACCTTATGACAAGGGCAGAGCTGGCAGAGTGGCTATTTTCTCAAGAAGAAACCAGGATTCCCAAAGGTTAATGCCTTGACCAAGGTCCTAGGGCAGAATCCAACCTGGGACTCACTCAGTTGTTTTGGCTTTGAGCCCAGTTCTCTTTCCATAAAGTGCTGACATTTGGACTGTGAGGTGGGCCTAGGAGGTAAAAATACAATGCCATGCGCCTGAGAAATTCCTTCCAGTAGAATGCGAAAGGCACCACTCTAGACCAGACAAAGATGGATACTGACACCCGTAATTAAAGAGTTTCTGTTGAGTACATATGACTTCTTTTTGAAAATGGATGACGTAACTACTTCCAAGAAAAAAAATTAGTAGCTGAAACAAACTTCACCGAAGAGTTACCAAAAGGGATGATTCTAAAATTCTGAATCGGGGATGGGTTAATGTAAATTTATATAGTTGTTCATTCTATAATTAAAAGAATAGATTTCTTTGTGGATATAGTTAACCCAGATGCTCATGTTAAGCAGACAAATAGGGCCTAAGGGGAGAAAAGATGGAGACAAGAAATCCAGGTTAAAGATTCAGAATAAGACCAAATAAAAAGAATTCTTATTTTAATCATTGAAAGTGTCAATAAGCACAAGGTCCCCTTTGACTGACTAAAAGATAAACCAAAATACAACATTATGCTCAGTGGAAGGTTATAAAAGGAGCCATGAATTAGATGGGGATTTGAACAAAAGGGCCTTTAAATTCCCTTCCAACTCTCAGGTCTTGGTTAACTCTGAGCAAACCATTCTTTAACTGGAAAGTCAGAGAAATGTTTCACTGAAGTCCATAATTTCTGCTAACAAAACACCTGACAGTCTTGTTATTTTGCTAACCAAAGGAATTGGAGATTGTCATGCCACCAGGGTAGAAGGAAATCCCTCCTAAATAACTGCATACCACATGAATGAAGCCTTAGATGTTATACCCCAAAGCTTTTCCTCATAGTCAGAAACCTGTTCCACCATGTAGGATCGGAGTGGACTCCCTCCCCCTACAAAAAAAAAAAAACAAAAACAAAAGCAGAAATCAAAAGAGAGAATGGGTCTCTCTGTTTATACCTTTAGGGCAGTGCTTAGTTAATCACTTGGACTCTTCTAGACAGACTTCTTTGGGTAAAAATCCCTGCTTCCCCATTTACTAGCTGGGTGACCTTGGGAAAGTTACTTAATCTGTAAAATGGGGATAGTAATTGTACCTGTCCATAGCCTATTGTGAGGATTAATATAAGTAAAGTGGTTAGCACAGGGCTGGCAATGGATAGTAACCACCCAGTGGATAGTAGAATGATCAATGACTGTAGTTTAAAGTTTTAGTAAGTATTGCAGTGAAGGAGAATCATAAAGGTCAGGGCACCATGGGGTATTTCACACATTCTTGAGCATTTTGAAAAAGTCACATGACATAACCCAGGAAACTCCCAGGTATACTAGGGTAACATCTGGAAGGCAGTGATGGAGAGAGACTTTTCTGATTGCCACTTTTGAAGCAGCAAACCATGTTATTGATGGTACTACAAGCCTTTTGCTGAATCAGACATAATGTTGATCACCTTCTCCTTGCAAGGCATGATGTGAGGCACAGCACAAGGCTTAATTATATTCAGACCTTCCTGGAAGAAGCATGACATATGTAACCCTAATATGGAACTGTAACTACGCTAAGAAAATGCAATGGAATTTTGTTAAAAAAAAAAAAAAAAAAAAAAAAAGAAGCTTCTTACTCCCACAAGACATTGTGATGATTAAACTGGCTATTTAGGCATAAGAGAGAAGGCTGTTCATCAAAAATCAATTTAAAAGTAAAAAACAGCAATGGTAAACCCCCTCCTCATTCCTTCCAATCCTAACCTTGATTCAGCGTTGAGCAAGAAACAGTGGCAGACGATAGTTTGAAAACAGCCTTTGGGAGGGCAGCTTCTCTCTGATCCACTCTGACCTCCTGCACCACTTTGGTCAGAGGGCTAATTTGTCCCTCTCGCTCATGGCAAATGGGAGTGAAATGATGGTGGTTGAATGTATAGTTAGCTTATTTCAAATCTGAGTCAGATCTGTTTCTCATTAGCTCCCGGAGGCTAAGATATGGATAAACTCAAAACAAGTCCTGATTTTGCTGGGCATGGTGGCTTATGCCTGTAATCCCAACTACTCAGGAGGCTGAGGTGGGAAGATTGCTTGAGCCTGGGAGGTCAAGTCTGCAGTAAGCTATGATTGTACCACTGCACTTCAGCCTGGGCAACAGAGCAAGACCCTGTCTCAAAAAAACAAAAGAAAGAAAAAAGAAAAAGAAAAAACAAGCCCAAACCCCAAGTCTTAGTTCACGTCAAGTCCTAGAAGCTAAGAAAATTTCAGGATTCCTTCAGGATACCACCTTGCCCAGGTGAACCAGGACTACTTGTGACCTAAGAATCCAGGTGGAACCCCAGAAACAAGGGTTCTGACCCCCAATCTACCATCAACTAGCTCTGTAATTGGTAGGGGGCCATGGAGTCGGGATTTTCCTCATCTAGTCTCAAGAATGTGTCTCCTCAAACTACAGCAAGGGCAGGGCCTGGCACCCAGTGGGAAGCTGAGTATGTGCTTAGGGAGGGCATCAGGGGCTCATACACTAAACTAGCATTTGCTATTTTAAAGCAAGAATCAAAATATTCATCCAGGAGAAAATCAGAATCCTATTAGATTTTTAATAACCTATTTTGCAATGTACTATTATTTTATTTTTGATTCTATGGCAGGAGTAGGAAAAAGGGTACATCATGACCTTCTTAGAGACCAGGGTCTCTTGAAATCATCACCCAGCCTACGAGTCACTGGCTGAGGTCACCTGACAGTGAGTCACTGGCAGCTAGTTTGTAGGGAAGAAGAAGAGAAGTGAATGTCAGAGAAGGTGAAGTTTGTGCAGACCTTCTCTCTACATCCCCTCTTGCCATCCATCTATTTTGCTTATTGCTAGGTACCTAGGGTCTTCTACCACCCAGAAACCTGAGTCAGAAATTCATGCAGCAACTTCTCGCTGACTGGCTGGCTTTCTCTTCCCCATGTGGGCATTTTCTTGGTGCAATGTATCTCAGAAGGACAGTCAAAAGAATATCTCATAAGATGAGGGACAGACTGACTGGCTGTTTACTGGAACATACCTACAGATCACCTGAGAATCTTGTTCAAATGCAGATTTGAACTCAGAATGTCTAGGATGGGGTCTAAGGTGCTATGTTCTGCCAAGCTCCAAGATGATGCTATTTCTGGTCCTCAGGCCACACTTTAAGTAAGGAGGCACTAGAACCCTTTCTAGCTCTGACTGCCCAAGCCTGTGAGCTCACCCCAGAACGATCTCAGCCAGAAGTTCCCAGATCAATAGTCTCAGGGATTATTCCTGCAGGCCCTTGCTTTCTGAGCCATCCCAATACACCAGTCCAGCCTTCCACCTGGCAAAAACAGTGATGCTCAGATGCAAAAGTACTCCAGGTAGCAGGGGGACACCTCAGCTCCAGGTAGGGAATTATTGCTGAGGAAGCTTACAAACACACCAGAATTACTACAGCGGGTCTTCAATAGCTCCAGTTATCCTCCCCAGGGGAGTCCTCAGGACAGGACAACAAGTCTAGGAGAAACCCCCTAAAATCATTTGCATTCACAGCACAGGAAACACAAAGGCATTAGGATGCGCTCTGCAGTCCTTGGTGGCAGGTGGCAGAGTTAATCACCTCTAAGCGAATCCAATGCTGTTGATGGCAGTGATTTAACCTCCCTTCAGCATCACTCTGACCTCATATGTGAGGATAAAAGACTGAAAACACTCTCAAACAAATAAAGAATGCCTATGTGGTTGGACCAGGCTCCAAGGAAGGGTCATGGTCACAGACTAAATTTCGGTTCAAATGCTAAATTTGGAGAAGATGACTTCCCAACAGAGCAGGAGGTGGAGTTCTGTGTGCATTCCTAGATGGTTCAGGTTGGCCGCCATCATGCGTGGGTGCAGGCATCGTGTGTGTATGTGTGTGTACATACATACACGTGCATGCATGTGTGCAAGTGTGTGTGCAGCAGGAGTGAGGTGGGGAGGAAGTATTGAGCACACTGATGCTTTTTCTGTGCAGTGGCTGCTATCTGCTTCGCACCCTCATTCCTATGGCAGCTGAAAGTTTCCTATGGCCTAGAAAAGGCAACACTACAACTCTGTCCATCAAAAATTGAACAAACCTGAATAGGAAATAGGATCCACTCTTATAAGGAAAGGGGAGGGGCTGTATTACAATGTCTGTGCCTGCTGAACCCCCCGTGCGTCCTGCCACGGGTTTTCCTGTCTGAGAGAAAATGGAATAAAGAAAACCTTAAGGCCGGGTGCGGTGGCTCACGCCTGTAATCCCAGCACTTTGGGAGGCTGAGGCAAGCAGATCACGAGGTCAGGAGATCGAGACCATCCTGGCTAACATGGTGAAACCCGGTCTCTACTAAAAAATACAAAAAATTAGCCGGGCGTGGTGGCGGGCGCCTGTAGTCCCAGCTACTTGGGAGGCTGAGGCAGGAGAATGGCAGGAACCTGGGAGGCGGAGCTTGCAGTGAGCCGAGATCGTGCCACTGCACTCCAACCTGAGTGACAGAGCAAGACGCCGTCTAAAAAAAAAACAAAAAAACAAAAAAAAGAGAAAGAAAACCTTGAGGTGGTTTTACTAGGCCTCTAGGAAGGGTTAAGTCGAAATAATTTGCTCCTGGTGTATCAGACAGCCCTATTTGGAAGCGCTCTGTGCTCCAAGAGCCTCTAGCACCCCACCTGGGGCCTGGGCTGAGTGGGCTAAACTGCTGTTATGGTGGGCACAGGCTGGCTTCTCCAAGGACACCCTTCATGCTTCCTTGGTTATAATGAACAGACACAGATAAAAAGGTGTGCACTTTCAAATACCTCGAGGGGGCTTTAGAAAAGTAGCTTCATTTGGGGATTAAATGGGGTCTCCTGAGTCCGAATTCAAGCCAAGGCTCTCTCTTCACCAGCAATACGGACTCCTGAATAGAGTCTGCATCATTCTCTCTGCAGAATGCTCGGTGGATGTTTAGAGAAGTCACCTGACATCAAATTCTGCAAAAGAAGCTCCCCAAGGAAGCCAGTCTTTGGTTCTGCAGATAATATATCATGTGCTAAATCACTCAGGGAAATGTCACACAGTTGTTAGAATAAAGAAGGTTTAATTGCCAAATATTGGGCTTTAAAAACCAATCAAGTATAGAAGGTAACTTTAATTAGAGAGAAGAATCAGATAAACAGAGTGTAAAAAGCTCAGTGCTTGAACAGCCTATATCTCATTGTGCCTTCATTCTCCAAGGACATCGAGTAAAAACAGAGATTAGACCTCTGCTAGCCACTTTGGGACAATTATAGGCAAAGGGAACAAATGTATTACTTCACTGACACCAGGAAACTGTCTTACATTTATGGGGCTTTGGGACAAGATTCCTTGATCTTGGGAATGCTGAGAACCAAATAACCAGCATCATTGTGGACCAAGCATCCCAGCCCCAAACACAGTGAGTATTGACTCTGGATCTCTACAGGTGCTCTCAAAAACGCAGACTGAAGATTATCAATCGACCTGCAGTCAATAGTGTCTACACACTGCATTCATCTTGAAAACAAAATTTTTGAGGGCCATTTTCAACTCAGGCTCTTCAGCAACCCTCAGGGTCTTGGTGCCTGCCTCATCTTCCGAGCACAGAGCCCTCCTGTCCATGGACCTGAGATTGCCAGGGGACAGAATGCTCACTTTCCTATTTTGTCTCTAAGGGAGCCCATTTCCGGAAAGTGTGAAGGTGATAAATTCACCCAAGTGAGCTCATTGCCAAGCCCTGAAGACCCTCACCCACTGGAGCAGCTTTGAACTGCATGGCGTGGGCCTCCCACCTCTCTAGGGTATTTTTAGAACTGAGCATGGAACAAAACTGAACTTTTCAAACAGAAAGGAATGCAAAGTGCTTAGGGCTAGTTTTCAAAGGGCAAAGCTTATTTTAAAAGATTATTGATCGGGCCTAACTGCAACATGACAGGGTCAAATGGAGTCAGGAATGCACAGGAGGAATCCAGGTTGGGAGAGCTAAGCCCTGAACACCTTAGGGATATCTGAGCAGCGCCCTCCACTGAACTTGACGGGCTACGTTAGCACAACCCATGGCGTTTCGGGGTAACAGATGCCACAGCAAAAAGCCCATGCTGGTTAAGGAAGATGATACTGGCGAGAGTGTCTCCAAATCTTTCTAGCATCTTTTCAGTTGATGAAGCTCTGACTTTATCATTATATGGAAACCTAAGCTCTAATTTTTTAAGATCAGTTCCTCAGCTCTTCAGCAAAATGTTCTTTGATGACTTTCTAGAGGCCTAAGTGTAGTTTAAAGAAAAGGTCAGGTAGGAATGGATTAAAATATGCCAAGGCATTCAAACATCATCCTCAGAAAAGAAAGAACTACCCTGGGCTTCACTCTCCCCTTTCATTCATTCTGATAACAAGGATTTTCTGTGCACCTTCTATATGTCTGGAAGCTTCCAAGAATAAACAGAACAAAGATGATTCAGACATTGCCCCCAGGGAGTTCAAGGGGTAGTGAGAGAGAAACTTACACACAAATATTTAAAAGACACCCACTTACTATCCAGACAGAGCATGAAGGCTGCTCAACATCTGTCAGGGCTGTGGAGGCAGCAGCTTGTTCCAGAGAACACCATCTTTGTTTTCTATCCCACCCTCTACCTTGGCAGGGCGATTCCCTCAAAGAACTGTACCCCAGCCTTTAAGCTTTTACACAAATCTCTGTATTCCAGAGACCAATGGAAACCACTCTTCTGGGCTTCTCCCAGGCTTACTGATAGGTCTAGTGTGCCAGTTTCCCCATCCTCCTTGCATGGGCCTTGCATGTCACCAAAAGGCTCCCCACCTCCAGGAAGGAGAGAGAACATGCCTGCAATCACACAGCCAATGCAATAGGCACACTTTTTAAGAAACAGATCACCTGCAAAGTGACATCAAATCATTACAATGTGCGAAGCAAACAAAGAATCTGTCTCACCCACATAAAAATGACACTGCATGCCTATGATGGGTGATGAACGGTACTGAGGTTTTTCTCATCTCCTAAACCTGTGTCTGAAAGGTTGTAAGCCATAAAGTAGTAGCTCATCATTGAGTGCAACACACTCATACCTCCTGTTTTGCAAGAGAAAAAGCTGGGGGATCAGGAGAGAATTTCTCTAGCCAAATTCTCCATGGGCTGTCTTCTTTGTCTCCTGTCCTCTGCTAACCTGTCCTACGACACAAAATAAACCTTCTCACAGCTTTTGGGTGTATGAACTGCCCACAGGGAGTTTCCTCTAGACAGAAAGAACTGGGCCCACAGTGGTCGCCCCGACAGCCTGAGTGCAAGCTTCAAAAGCCCAGGAGTCAAGTTAGTGTCAAAAGAAAAACAAGTAGGGAAGTATAGCAGGATTGACAGTTGGAGATATTAACTGAGGTGCTTTTTATTCCATAGATTTCCCCTTATCTGCTTACCCTATCTCTTCCTCATGTCATTGCCTCAGGGGAGGGGGGACAATAATAGAAACACAAAAATGTTGTTTAATTCTAAGAGCTAAATTGCTTTGCAAGAGTCTTAAGTAAGAGATTTGGAACACAGCCCATCAATCAGCCTTGCCTGCCCTGAGATTAGACAAGGATTCTCTGGAGTCAGGGAGCCAGAGGTGGATCAGAGAGAGGTAGGGTGAAGAGACCTGTGGGTTTATAAGGAGGACTGTGCCCTCTGGAGCCAGGCATGAGTTTCTTCATGGGACTCCATCCAACTTGCTGTCTATGGTCCCCAAGCTGGTCAGCCCACTGGTGGCCCCAGGATTCCTGCAGCCCTCACACTTCCAGGGGCTGCAGGAATAAAGCATTTTCTTCTTTGGTGCCCCGCACCCATTCACCACCATCACTAGCCCCTCGCGGCCTTCCCTCTCCTGTGCCTGGCCAGCGTTAACCCCGCCCCACTCCAGCAAGATCCCCTCTGGCGTCAGAACAGTTATGTACCTGTTGCCTTTCCCAGCCTTTGTCAGTCTTCCAGGAAGGGAGACCAATTCCCAGGGAATACCTTTAGGAGGCAGATTGAAAGCCAGGACCTAATTTCCCATCAGCCATCAAGCAGTAACCATTTCGAGCAGTTAGGCTTTGAAGTGAGCCAGTGACCTACACAGAAGTGAAAAGCTTCAAATGCCATTATCATTCCCCAGAGCCAGCCTTCTGTGTGCCTCTGCCTCTCATCTCACCTTTCAAGAGTATAGACAAATGAGCCTTCTTGACATGTTTATGCCAGTTCCTCTTCCCCAGTCCTCATTCTCAGGCCCTTTTGCAGAATGCCCTCTGACCATATTCTAGAAGGATGTCCTGTTGTGTGAGCCATTTTGCTGTTCATGAACATTACTCAAAACATCTTTCTTTAACATAACTCCTGCCTGCGATGGTAGCAGTGTTGTGTTCTGTTTCTAGGCTGTTCAAAGAAATCTGAGCCAGTGCAAGGCGTTTGTCATTCCTCAAGGGCAGTGACTTAAAGACAACTGGTTACATTACGGGCTCTTCGCTTTTTCCTACTTTTGTCTCTGGGATGTGTTTTTCTCTCATCTACATCATAATCAATAGTTCTTCCCCCCTTTGTGATGGATCATATCAGTCACAACTATGCTAAATTGTCACCTGACATTTAGCTTCGATGCTATTCTCTTGGATGGAACACAGTTTTCTCTCTTTTCAAATGCCTGGAATACTGAAAGGGCCTAGGCAACAATGTTCAATTATGTGTCAAGTCACAGTTTTGCTGTAGGACCAAGAAAAGAGAACACATCCACAGGTGGCTCCCAACTCACTACAGACCCATAAAGAGCAAACTCAGTAAGTGTCAACCTGTCTCCTAACAAAAGCCCATTTATTATTGAGAAATCAGACACATAAAAATTAGATCAAAGACCCACAACTGCCCATTCATGATGTACTATCCATGCTGAGTGACTGTAAATTTTTTTGATTGCAAGAAAAAAATTAAAAATATCCTCAGTCCAGTCCAACAATAAGAGAATTTTGTGAGAAATCTCTACTGAGTTTTGCTGTCCCAGGAGAGGAGTTGGTTTAGCTGTTTTATCAAAAAGCTTTGAAATATAAAGTGCTCCCGAGGAGTTCGAAAGGACACAGGAAAAACACTACCCTTTAGGGAGACAAAGAACTGTAACATCCCTGTCCTCACTGGGTTCCCTGGGGATAGAGGACCCTCCCTCCCACGGTCACCCCCAGGGACAAAGTGTTGTTACGGAGCAGGTGGCCTGAGCACCCATCCCAGTCCTCCAGGATTCCACCAAGTGGCAGTCGTGTGTAAGATGTTAATTTCCCTGGGCATCAGTTGTCTCATCTCACACATAGGAGCTAGAACTGAGAAACTCCAAGGGCTACTTCAGCTTTGAAATGTTGTAATTCTTATATAGAAGAAAGAACAGGAATGCCATGATATTAGATATGAGAGAGCGAGACAACGAGAGAGCGAGACAGAGACAGAGAGAGAGAGAAAAGAGAGGGAGACAGAAGAAGAAAGAAAGAAATGAGGGAGCAAGGAGATAGAACTAAGAAAATGTCTTTAGGAAACCACAAGAGAAGTATAACAGAAAATGAAAGTGTAGACAAAGTAGACAACAAGACAAAGATGGGATGAAAGGAACTTTAGTGCTAATAAACATGAATGACGAGAGTTTCTCTTTATCTAGCACCTATCATGCTGCATATACATTTTCTATAATATTCACAGTTTTCTGAGGCTGGTAGGAACACATCTGTCTCATAGGTGAAGAAATTGAGGTTGAGTGGAGTTAAAGAACTGGTCCAGGCTGGGCACAGTGGCTCACGCCTGTAATCCCAGCACTTTGGAAGGCTGAGGCGGGCAGATCACTTGAGGTCAGGAGTTCAAGACCAGCCTGGCCAATGTGGCAAAACCCTGTCTCTACTAAAAGTACAAAAATTAGCCAGGTGTGGTGGCAGGCACCTGTAATCCCAGCTACTTGGGAGACTGAGCAGAAGAATCGCTTGAACCCAGGAGGCAGAGGTTGCAGTGAACCGAGATCATACCATTGCATTCCAGGCTGGGTGACAGAGCAAGACCTCCGTCTCAACAACAACAACAACAAAAACAACAACAACAACAACAACAAAGAACTGATCCAAGTTCAGACTGCTAATTATTTGAAGCTATGATTGAACCCAGGAATCCAACCTAGCCTTTGCACTATGTTATTACGTTATAGTGCCTCCTAAACCATTCTCCCTGTTGTTTAGCAAGAGATGCAGTGCTCTCTTCTGCTTTAGTTTATAAAGCATGGCTCAACTAGAAGACCTACGAGAAATCCACAGAGGCAGTATCTCCTTCCACCAGCAGTTTTGAATGTGCCTCTGACACAGAAGGGAGGATCAAGTCGAGCTGCCCTGAACCACTGACAAGAAGTATCCCTTTTCAGGATGGATCCTGCTGTGGGGGACAGCATAGCAAAAAGAGGGACAAGTACTGGCTTAGACATCCGGAGAGCTGGGCCTACACTCTGGCCACAGATTTCTCACAGGACTCTGCCCTCTCTCCCCTACCTGCCTCTAAGCACTGCTGATATCCTGGTGCACGTAAGCTCATGGGTACAAGGAGTTAGACACAAGCAGAGGACAGTTCTGTCCCAGGCACTTCCTGGTATATATGAGGGGAGTGGGGAGGTGGGAGCCATTTCAGCAGAACATACCGATATCCTGCAAACAGCAGGCACACAGTTGTTGCTTCAGGAAAACCAGACTCAGCTTTAAGAAAATTGGCGATAAAAACACAAAATTACCTTTCAGAAGAAACAAACTGGAATGTGAGTGAGATTGCTGAAGTCTTTTTCATTTTGCCCAAGACTCAAGCCTACCTTCTGTTAAATAGAAAGCTCCCAAATACATCTGAAAGATGATTCGATTTACAAAAGTTCCATTTGTCCACAACCTTTCACACAACCTTGCATTAACAGAGGTGAGTTACATGGGCATAAGTCCATGTGACTTGCAAAAATGCGTAAAACAAGAAGCAAAGCATACAAATGTGTGCAGGCTGCAAGGCTGAGACCAAGAAAGAAAGTAGATGGGGTTGAAAATGAATCCTGCAGTGGGAAAATTAATTTAGTATAAGCCCCAAAGCCACAGACCACTACCACACTACTGACCCTCACCACCCCCCACCCCCGGCCTCCCGTCAGCAAACTCTCTGTGACTTCTGACTGCTCCCCTATCTTTCATTCCCTTGGTATCAGGAAGCACAGGAGAGATTCAGGGGGAATATCATTTACATAGGGGGAAATGTTTTTGAGTATACACACACACACACACACACACACACACACACACACACACACACACATTACCCTCTCTGCAAGGTTGGAACTAAATATCTTTCTTATTCACTGTTCCTGGATAAAGTGGCTTTAAAAAGTTTTCGCCATTGTCATTTCCATTTTCGCCTTCACTCAGGCACACAATGAAGAAAAAACGAGACTAAGGATGATTGACGTTCCCCTTTTAATGACGAATGCTACCGATTTTCACGTCCCTTGGAGTTTTCTTGTATTCATTTTCTTTGCCTAGGTTAGTTTTTTTCTTCCTTTTCCCATCCAGTCTTTTCGTTTCTTTCCCTTATATTATCTGAAATGTCTATAGAACCCGAGAAGGATAGGAGATCCTCCCATAGCCCTAACCAGCACTCATCAGCCAACATGAGTGGCACTCTCTAACTATATGAAAATGGAAACCATCTTATTCCATTTAACTAAAGCCTCTGCACAGCCATCAGGGATTCTTTTCAGAGGACAATGCAAAGGCCAGCAAGTTGCACTTGAACAAATAACTTCTCCTAGAAAGGAAATGGCATCCGCAGCAATCAATGTTATACCTAGATGTGTGTTAAGAGCGACGGTGCTGGAGGGCTTCCAGGAGTTGTGTAGAGATCACCACGTGGCCACTCCCTCAGTAAACATTTATAAAGCACCAATTGTGTACTGTGCTGGGTGAGGCAAGGAAAAGGTGAATAATGTAGTCCCCGACTGTAGGAGGTCAGAGTCTCAGTTGTGGGAGCCCAAAGTCCAGGTGGAAAATAAATGCTAATGAAAAGTTCCCTTGTATTCACTCTGCTTATTGAGTTTACATAGACAAATGTTCTGAGGATTTCCCTGGGAGTTTTTTTTGTTTGTTTGTTTTGTTTGTTTGTTTGTTTTGAGATGGAGTGTTGCTCTGTAGCCCAGGCTGGAGTGCAACAGCACAATCTTGACTCATTGCAACCTCTACCTACCTCCTAGGTTCAAGCGATTCTCCTGCCTCAGCCTCCCGAGTAGCTGGGACTATAGGCAACCACCACCACGCCTGGCTAATTTTTTGTATTTTTAGTAAAGACAGGGTTTCACCATGTTAGCCAGGATGGTCTCGATCTCCTGACCTCGTGATCTGCCCGCCTTGGCCTCCCAAAGTGCTGGGATTACAGGCATGAGCCACCATGCCCGGCCTTCCCTGGGAGTTTTTTGAAAGGGAATGGAAGCCCCCTCAACAGAAAGAAGCCTCTTGAAGTCCAATTTCATACATGTTTCACATCAGGTTCGATCTAACCCAAGCAAATACCATTTTTAGGCAAGGCACATTAGCACTGCAATAATCTATCTAGTGATTGTTCATCTAGAATACATGTACTTACTATGTCCGAGACACAGTGCTGGGTGCTGGGTAGGGGATACAAAGATGAATTAATTAGGGCTTTATTCCTTAAGCTACTTAATGTTTTTCTATGACTGAGCCAAAAGTCACAAAGGGCAATCCAAGGCCAGTGTTTATTAATTTGCAGTTAAATGTATACACTGGCACCAAAGCACTTACTGGACTCATACTACACACATCATGTATGTGAAGATAAACAATGCACAGGCTTTTCCTTGGAGCTCACAGCAATATGACAAGCGGTCCATGGGACGTATGCATAGGGAAAGAGAGTAGCCCAGGAAGGCTTTACAAGGGAGCTGATACATTCGTGGGTCAGATTTTAGAAAATGAGTCAGAGTTAGCCAGGAAGAGAATGAGAAAAAGACAGTCTGTAGAGAGGAAGCAGTAAGTATGCAGATAAGAGGCTGTAAGACAGTAGGGTGGGTTAAGTAAGGGAGAATATTTAAGTGGTCCTCCAAGGAAGAAGAAGAAATGATGCTGAAAATGTGGGTGGGACCAAATGACCTACATCCCAACCAAATGTCCCAACCAAAGAAGAATGGAATCAAAATCACCAATAATCTTTGGTATTCTTCTGTGAACATGAATTCCATTCAAGTGAGATTAGAACCTACACCTTAATTCAAAGTGTTAGTATATGGAAATATTGGTTAGGTGTGGCACATAGACATAGTCATGGAAATGAAAACACATCATCATTTGCAGCAGACACCAGGGATTTGTATAAAGGCAAAAAAAAGTTTCTTGAAACAAGCAGTGATCACAATTGCTAAGAGATGTACCTCACAGCCTCTGTCTGCTCTTTAGCCTATGACCTGTCTATAAGGACAACAAACGAACTTGTCTTAGCTTATCCAGCCATCTGGCTGTAGTACAGCTGGTTAGATTAAGGAGCATAGTGATAACTCGCTGAGTGCTTCGTGAGGTGGGTCGAGGCCTGGCCACATAGCCACAGCACCTGTCATGACAGGAAGGGCTACAATGTCATGGGAGGCAGGCAGTGAGGGATATTCCAGTGGACAGATTAACATGACATTCCTTGTCAGAGAAGGAACGAGTGTCTAGCTGCCAAAACCAGAGAGGTCTAGACAGATCCCAACAGCCTGCTGTGGAGACCAGGAGCAACAGTTGCTTTCTTTCCCTTTCCATTTCTGTTGCTTGCACGATGGACTCCCGGGTCTGGGAGAAATTAGAAGTTATATAGGGACTTGGGTATTCATGAGAAAGCGAAAGGGAGGGAACTAGACAAGGACCCAGCTCTTGAACAAGGGATTAGGAAAGGTTCACAGGCAACCGATGCAGACTGAATTTCTGGGAACATAGCAAAGAGACTCAAAGAACCTCAGTAAGACTAACTGACTGTCATAATAGAACAGAAAGGGACAGGAAGAGCTTCTGCAGCTGTAGGACAGGTAATCCCAGATTCCAGGGTCAAAGGACTTCAGCTTTACAACCTGGAGGGCTAAGGAACAAGAGCCAAGGGACCCATTATAGCTGAACCTCAAATACAGCCTAAGAAGTAACCTTGTTTTCTTATTCAGACAGAGCTTTATGGTTTTTGTTTCCAGTTCTCTAACCAATGTCACTTTCTATATTGACACTTCTTTCTGAAGGTAAAAGAGTTAGTAGACTGGTTGTTTCTTCCTTCCACCACCAACTTTAGCTAAGTTTTGCAAACGGCCGAGTCTAAAAACATGCTCCATCCTGGTACACTGTGTGTGTGTGTGTGTGTGTGTGTGTGTGTGTGTGTGTGTCTGTATGCACATGCCTATGCGTGGCTGCCTGGGTCTGAGTCTAGGTCATTGCAATATCCCAAGGCAATATGAACACCATAATTACTACCATTTATTGAGCACCTCCTATGGGCACTGTGATGAACTCTTGAATCTCTAATGCTTGTAATGCTAGAGGATATCATTTCATTTATTTTTTTACAGAGCAAATGCTGAGAATCTCCAGTGCTCCCTAGCACTGAGCTTATGATGGAAAATAAATATCATCACACCTCCTTGTAAAAGGCAAGGTCTAGAAGAGTAATGACCACACTTAGCCAACCAGGCAGGCTATTCTATCCGGAATGGCTGAATCAGCCAACCAACCAATTTGACTGATTCTGTCCAGTGAACTGACCAGTTGATTGACTGGCTTGGCAGAGTCACACAGTTACTTCTGCACCATGTTGCCACAGCTTTACAATGTGCCTGTGCTGGTGAAATGAAGTGAAAAGCCAAGGAATTACCCCGATTATTTCCTGTATGAAAGATGCCAGCCTGGATTAAAACCTCAAGAACTTCTGTCATAAACCAAACTGTATGGTGGAGAATGACAAAGTGAAGCCATGGGCAGACCCCTAGACTGGGGTGAATGAATGGGGCTTCTCCTGGGTCTGCTGTTGTCCAGCTAAATCTCAACCATGATTATTCATTAGAATCACCTAAGGAGCGTTTAAAATCATTGATGTGGGGAGGTCCCAGAGACTGCGATTACATTGATCTGGAGTGGAACCTGGATAATATTATTTTTAAGCTTCCCAGGTGATTAACATTTGGCCGTGGAGAACCTTGGAGTTTAGTAGCATGGCCCCTCCAGGCCTCAGTTTCCTGTTTATTTGTTGAGGATGTCAGACCAGGTAATATCCAGGGCCCTGTAAAGTTCTAAGATTTTATGTTCATCCTGATCCCATCCCCAGCTGGCAGGCAGCTCTGAAGACACCACTTTCTCTTTGCATAATTCAATTCCCGAATGCCGTCAAGATGGCCGACCTACCACAGAGGGTAGGCATGTGGGTTAATGAGATCACATTTGCAAAGTGTTTGGGGCTCTAGGGAAGAAATCTCTAATGTATGCAGCTAAAGCATGATTACAGCAATGTTAATGTCATTTTTTTTTAAGAAGAGTAAACCACAGTTCACAACCCTGCATCTGCCGTAATTAGACTATCTTGTCAGGATGGAGGGTGGCGGAGTGGAAAGTAGATTAAAGCAGGGCTGCTCATGTTAAGACCAGATGCCAGGTTAAGCCTCCAAGAGCCATGTCTATGCAATCACAAGTGACATAGACTGGGCTTGAAAAAATGTTAATCTATGCAAAATCCTCTTGTTCTCAGTATACACCAGAAGATTCCTTCATGACACACATTCTTGTGGACCTACTTCCATATAACAGAGAAAAAAGATGAATCTTGTGGTTCTTTTCCAAGGGTAAATAATCATCAGTGGGACTTTATTTCTAAAATGTTACTACCCATTGCTATTTCTGACATATTGACATTGGAACACACACACACAAAATCTTTCTTTGAGATGGAGTCTTGCTCTGTCACCCAGGCTGGAATGCAATGGCACGATCTCGGCTCA
This sequence comes from Homo sapiens, assembly GCF_000001405.40. Classification (NCBI taxonomy): domain Eukaryota; kingdom Metazoa; phylum Chordata; class Mammalia; order Primates; family Hominidae; genus Homo; species Homo sapiens. Next base: position 29,790,659 of record NC_000002.12, read on the forward strand.
CTGCAACCTCTGCCTCCCAGGTTCAAGCAATTCTCCTGCCTCAGCCTCCCAAGTAGCTGGGATTACAGGTGCCCACCACTACACCCGGCTAATTTTTGTGTTTTTAGCAGAGATGAGGTTTCACCATGTTGGCCAGGATGGTCTCAAACTCCTGACCTCAGGTGATCCACCTGCCTGGTCCTCCCAGAGTGCTGGAATTAGAGGTGTGAGTCACCTCACCCGGCCAAAAAATAATCCTTTAAGATCCTATACATTAGACCTGTCACTCCAGGCTGCAGAAACTGGAGTGACAGCAAAGGCTCTGAAGCCCAAGAGATAGGAATCTGTATCTGGGTCCACCTCTTACAGTCTCTGTGACCTCTTGGCAAGTCTCTTCCTTTCCTTTATCTTATTTTTCTTCTATTAGATAACATGTGAAAAACACCTAACAAAATGCCCAGTGTAACTCAATAAACATTTAGTTTCCTATCTCTGTACCATATGTAATTGATGTTGTCAGACAATATTTCCACACATGCACACATATGTTTATTGCAGCACTTTTCACAATAGCAAAGACTTGGAACCAACCCAAATGCCCATCAATGATAGACTGGATAAAGAAAATGTGGCACATATACACCATGGAATACTATGCAGCCATAAAAAAGGATGAGTTCATGTCCTTTGCAGGGACATGGATGAAGCTGGAAACCATCATTCTCAGCAAACTACACAAGAACAGAAAACCAAACACTGCATGTTCTCACTCATAAGTGGGAATTGATCAATGAGAACACATGGACACAGGGAGGGGAACATCACACACCAGGGCCTGTCGAGGGGTGGTGGGTAGGGGAGAGATAGCATTAGGATAAATACCTAATGTAGATGACGAGTTGATGGGTGCAGCAAACCACCATGGCATGTGTATACCTATGTAACAAACCTGCACATTCTGCACATGTATCCCAGAACTTAAAGTATAATTAAAAATATATATATATATATTTCCAAACAATAGTCACCACTGCCCAGATGATACTGAAGGCCTCTGGTAGACCAGATCTCTTGTTTTTCATGACGCTTTTGTAATCTCATTCATTCATCCATCCATTTATTTATTGACTTACTTTCAACTAGTTTATATGGTTTGTGCAATATAGACCAAAAGACAGTCTTTGTCATTCATCATCAATTAATAATTATAATTTGAGGGAATTTGAAACATTGCATTTCAGGATTTTCTCTAAACAATCGGGTGATTCAGATGCACTAAGTTATCTGAAAATGAGTATTTTGTGTTTTCCATAGATGTTTAGGAATCAGCAATTCTGATCATAACATGAGCTTATGAAATAAGAGTTGTAACCTTGAAGTGTCCATGTATAGGTTTAAACAATTCTAACCAAAACATGAATATAATTTCTTTGGAACTTGAAAAATGATTCTGAAACTCCTCTGTTGCAACAAATAGCTAAAAATAGTTTTAACCTTTTTTGTTAGGGAAAACAAATGGAGGGATGGGGAATTCTCTAACTATACATTAGGTATTTTATAAAGCTTTCATTCTTAAAATGTGTGGTGCTAACACAAAAACAGATGGAACAGTGGAACAGTTGCAGAAGGTAGATAGATGGAATAATGGAACATTCCAGTGGAGACTCCAGAAACAGACTCAGGTCTGTATAAGAATTTAATATGTAATAAATGGGACATCTCAGTTTCAGGGGGAGGGTAGCACTAGATAATAATTACTGCTGGGGGCCACTAGTTAAGTTTTGGGGAAAAACTCATTTGAACCCTCAATTCAAATCATCTACCACAATAAAAGGCAGATAAAGTAAGTGTAAGAAAAATAATCCATAACAAAACTCAATGGAAACACAAAATGGTATTTCACACATCTTTAGATAAGACAGGATTTTCTAAGATTAAAATCAGTAAAAAGGATTAAAAGAAAATGAGCAAAATGTGACCATTTGAAATGCCTCAATGATATTGAGGGTTTATTTCCAGACCACTGCAATAAAGCAAGTATTGCAATAAAGCAAGTATTGCAATAAAGCAAGTCACACAACATTTTTTGGTTTTGGTGCATATAAAAGTTATGCTTACACTACACTTAGACTATTAAGTATGCAATAGCATAATCTCTAAAAAAATATACACATCTTAATTTAAAAATACTTTATTGCTAAAATGGCTGACAATCATCTGGGTCTTTGGTGAGTCATAATCTTTTTGCTGATGGAGGGTCTTGCCTCAATATTGATGGTTGGGGTGTCTGTGGCAATTGCTTAAAATAAGACAATAATGAAGTTTGTTGCATCCATTGACTCTTCCTTTCATGAAAGATTTCTCTGTAGCATATGATGCTGTTTGATAGCATTTTGCCCACAGTAAATCTTTCAAAATTGAAGTCAATCGTCTCAAACCCTGCCACTGCTTTATCAACTAAGTTTATGTAATATTTTAAACCCTTTGCTGCCATTTCAACAATGTTCACAGCATCTTTACCAGGAGTAGATTCCATCTCAAAACACCACTTTCTTTGCTCATCCACAAGTAGCAACATCTCATCCGTTCAAGTTTGATCATGAGGTTGCAGCAATTCAGTCACATCTTTGGGCTCCACTTCTAATTCTAGTTCTCTTGCTATTTCCATCACATCTCCAATTGCTGCCTCCAACGAAGACTCTACTGAAGTCTTGAACCCCTCAAAGTAATCCATGAGGACTGGAATCAACTTCTTCCAAACCCCTGTTCATGTTGTTATTTTGACCTCCTCCCATGCATTAAAAATGTTCTAAATGGCATCTAGAGTAGTGAATCCTTTCCAGAAGGTTTTCAACTTACTTTGCCCAGATCCATCAGACGAATCACTATCTATGGCAGCTACAGCCTTACAAGACATGTTTCTTAAATAATAAGGCTTGAAAGTCAAAATTAGTCCACTATCCATGGATTGCAGAAAGGATGCTGTGTTAGTAGGCATAAAAAAATTAATTTTCTTGTACATCTCCATCAGAGCTCTCCAGTGATGAGGAGCATGGTCAATGGGCAGTAACATTCTAAAAGGAATCATTTTTTCTGAGCAGTAGGTATTAAAAATGAGCTTAAAATATTCCATTTATTGAATATTCAGTTTACATGGTTTACCATGTTGTAAACACTTGTGTTGTCATTCAGCCCTTGTTGTTACATTTATAGAATTCAGGCAGAGTAGATTTAGCATAATTTTAAAAGCCCTGGGATTGTCAGAATGGTAAATAAGACTGACTTGAACTTAATCACCACCTGTATTCACCCCTAACAAGAGAGTCAGCCTGTCCCTTGAAGTTTTTGAAGCCAGTCATTGACTTCTCTTTTGTAGCTATGAAAGTCCTAAGTGTCATCTTCTTCTAATATAAGGTTGTTTTGCCTAGTTTGATGGTTTAGTGTAGCCACCTTCATCAATTATCTTAGGTAGATCTTCTGGATAACTTTCTACAGTTTCTTCATCAGCACTTGCTGCTTCACCTCGCACTTTCATGTTATAAAGATGGCTTTTTTCCTTCAACCTCGTGAACCAACCTCTGCTAGCTTCCAATTTTTCTCCTGCAGATTCTCCACCTCTTTTGGCCTTCATAGAATTGAAGAGAGTTGAACTTTGCACTAGATTAAGCTTTGACTTAAGGAAATATTGTGGCTGATTTGATCTTCTATCCAAAACACTCAAACTTTCTCTATACCAGCAATAAGGCTGTTTTGCTTTAAAAAAAATCATTTGTGTGTTCACTGGGGTAGCACTTTTAATTTTCAATAATTTTCCTTTCCATCACACTTGATTAACTGGCACAAGAGGCCTAGCTTTTGATCTGTCTCAGCTTTTGACATGCCTACTCACCAAACTTAATCATGTCTAGTTTTTTACTGAAAGTGAGAGACATACTACTCTTCCCTTCACGTGAACACTTAGAGGCGACTGTAGGGTTATTAACTGGCCTAATTTCAATATTTTTGTATCTCAGGGAACAGGGAAGCCCAAGGAGATGGAGAGAGTTAGGAAAATGGCAGGTTGGTAGAGCAATCAGAGCACACAATTATTGAATAACTTCGCCACCTTATAGGGGCATGGTTTGTGGCATCCCAATGCAATTAGAAGAGTAACATCAATGATCACCAATCACATATCACCATAACAGATATATTAACGATGTTTGAGATATTGCGAGAATTACCAAAATGTGACACAGAGACATGAAGGAAACACATGCTGTTGGAAACATGGTGCTGACAGACTCTTTCCAAGCAGAGTCACCACAAAACTTCAATTTGTGAAAGTTGTGATATCTGTGAAGTGAAATAAAGCAAAGCACGAAAAATGGAAGTATGTCTGTGTTACAACTGCATACAAATATTGCAAAAGACTTTCAAATTGGGAAAAATTTACAACAAACGTAGTAGATGGAGGGTTAGTCCTGATATCATCCAAATAATTTAGAAAAACACTAAGACAGGCAGGTGAAAAGGCTATGAACATCAACAGAAAATTCAGACACACACACACACACACACACGCAAAGAGCTAACAAATATGAAAAGTTGTTCAGCCTCGCTGGTAAGCAAAGAATTGTAATTTAAGGTGGCAGTTTTTCTTTGCCCATCTAATTAAAAAATATTTTTAAATAATATGCAGTTCTGGCAAGTGTTGCGTGAGATAAGCATTCTTATACACTTCTAGTGGGAGTATAAATTGTTCTGGAAGAGCATTTTAAAAAACTCTCTAAAGGCAAATATAGATCGCCTTTACAATATACCTATTTTTTGACCCAGTAATTTAACTCATCGAAATCCATCCCAAGAAAATTACCTGTTATACACATAAAAGCTTTTTTGCATAAGAATATTCACTGCTGCAATCTTTATAGGATAAACAAAACAGAACAAAACTAGGAAGCAAAGTAGCTACTTGAAATAAAAAGTGATAAAGTAAATATGGCATGTCCAAAAGATAAGTTATTATGTAACTTCCAACAAAGATGACTAAGACTTTATGTAATATTAAATGAAAATATCATCTTAAAAATTTTATATGAATCAACTCTAGTCTTTAAACTCACAAAGACTGATTTAAAAATACTAAATTGTTAACAGTAGTTATCTTTGGTGGGTAGTATTATGAACAATTAATTTCTTCTTTTTCAATTATTTGAAAAATAATTACTATGCATTATTTTTATAATTAGCATGACATTTTTATAAAAAGGACATAACTGCATATTCCAATTATTACTTTGCAACAGGAGAAAGATAGGATGAGGTTGACAACGGCCTTCGAACTGCTTTTCCTTCTGCCCTTCTTTTCCTTCCTAATCTCTCTCTATGAGGTCCACACACACAGCCTTGAAGGAGAAATAAAAGAATCATTTGTAGGCCTGAGTTTTCTCTTTTATCCTTATGGTCAAATGAGAAGACGTCTAAACAGAAGATCTAGGTATTATGGCAGAAAAATAGATAAATAGATAAATACTTCACAAAGGGTCTCTCTGCTAGGGAAGAGCTCCTGGAACCATCGGTAGATCTGTAATAAAGCATCCAGTCTCTGTGGCTGTCTTCTTAATAAGCCAGAAGCACATTTACTGTAGCCTGGTGAGTGACGATCAGCAAAACTTACGAAAAATACAGCACGGATTTCCTCCAAACGTTAGCAGCCAATTTCACTCTGGGAGGTAAAATTACTGGAACTGATAAGCCAATATTAAAAGACCAAAAAAGCTCCTTAAATATTACAAAGACCAATTTGAGCCATCAGACCTGCATCTGAACAAATGGGAAGATGGCAATCTGAAAATTGTAATAAGAATGAATTGATTTTGTACCTGTTCTCTAGTTTCATTATGATCACTGACAACAGAATGGATTCATTTTATGTCATTTTCTCCTAAGCCTCATAGAATATTTTCTTTCAGGTCCTGAGATATGAACAGAAAGCACAGATGGCCCTGTCTGCTTCAACCCAGCAGAGACTACGAATAACTTTGGAGTTGTTTAAACTCGTTTCTTTTCTCTAAGCAACCTAGCTATTCAGCAGCTGTTCATTTCAAAGCTCAGAAAGATGCAAATGGAGCTGCAACTACCTTAAAAGAAGCTCCGGTGTGGGGTGGGGCACGGGGTATGACAATGGGGAGAGGAGGTGAGCTACCTTTCATGAGTTTTTTTAAATGTAGAAGAATAAGCACAAATAAAATTCTATTAGTGTAATTTTAGGAGACACAAGGTCATGATGCTCACAACTTACTATCAAATGGCTCAATGACAACAATAACAAAAATTACATACATATATACATACATACATACACATATATGCACGCACACCCACACACACACACACACACACACACACATACACACACATATATATATGGAGAAACAATATGGCAAAATGTAAATAATTAGATTATAAAATCTAACAGAAAGATGTATAGAAACAAACAATACTATCCTAGCAACCTTTCTTTAGATTGCCATCATTTTAAAAAAATTAAAAACAAATGAAGTTTAGCAGCTCTCTGCTCATAACTTCCTTTAACTGTCCCATCCTGTATATTCTAACCAGTCCAGATAACTCTGTTTCTTGAGCTCACTCTGCTCTCCCACTTCCTTGCCATTTGCTCATGCTATTTCCTCCACCAAAAATGCTCACCTCCTGCTCCTATTCATAAGTCTTTCAAAGATTTTTTTCAAATGCTTCTCCTTGAAGCATCCTCTAATCTTTGCCCCTGCACCCCAGTTATATTTGATTTCTTGCCTGTGAATCTCTCTTAAGATCCAGTTTATCAGACACTCTCCTTCTCCCATCAAAGGACAGCAAGGAGTAATATCCCCACTATCATTGCTTGTTCATGTGTCTCTCTCCCTTTTGGAACTCTAGGATCCCTGAAGGCAGGGACCATGTCTGTCTCATTCACCAGTATAGCCCAAGTGCCAGGGACATTGCTTAGTGTAGAAGGACTCACTAAATATTTGCTGATTGAAGGAACTGATATTCTGACTAGTTACTGGAGTAGTGTTAGATTTTTAAATCTCCTTAAATCAGGGACTCTTTCCTACTCATCTCCATATCCATGCACAAAGTAGGTGCTAAACAAATATTTGTTGATTTTTTTTTCAAAAAGCAGATAAATAGGATTTTTTTTTTTACTTTCACCAAAGCACTATACCTGTTTATTCATTTACTCATTGACCCAAGAATTTGGGTCAAGAAAGCTTTAGCTGTGGCCATCCAAAGGGTACCAGAAAAGATGAAAAGGAGTAAGTAGAGCCACCTGCGGAAGGCCACGGGGTGGTAAGCTCCATATCTTCCTGGTTAGTAAGGAAGTCTTAAAGCTGCCTGCAGGCTTGTGACCAGGTATCTTAAGGGTGAGCACTATTTGGTGTTGCCATCAACTACGATCCCAGAGGGCAAAGCCTAGCAGCCAGATTCCTCACACCTGCCAGTGTCCTTCATTACATCAGCTAATAAAGAAACAAGCACAGAAGGCTAAATCCAAAAGGAAATAACCATCACCATGTTGGGACTTATGTGGCCAAAGCCTCTCTTTGTGTGTGTGAGAGAGGGAGTCTTTTGGATGCTTTATTATTAAATTGGTATCATCACCAGCTCCTTTCCATTTTGGGAAAGCCAAGTACACTCAGCCCTAGGTTCACTCACAGGGACAAAATTAGCCACAGAAATCCCATCAAAGGGAAATCTAAGGAATTAGAATTCTATTGCATTTGGAAACTGGTGATTTCAAATATTGCTGGAATGTGAGTTGTTGTTTAAAATTTAGAAACCATACATGATTTGAAGAGATTTTGTGCTGGACAGAAAATATGTAGAATTTGGTCTTTTCATCACAAAGTACAAAAACCCCCGCTCCTCGCATCCAGGTCTTTTCAGCAAATGTACCTTAAAAGGCAATTAAAGAATGGTGAAGCTCTCGAGAGGTATGACAGTCTTTGGCCACATTCTATATTTGCCACCATATCTAGAACCCTCTATGCTTCCATGGACATCCAAAGGTAGGATGATAATAACCCAAAGAACTTTTTTCTTCCTTTAAGCCGCACTTAGGTAAGGACGGCTTTATCCCCACCCCAGGGAGAATAATACCCAGAAACCTCAATCCTAGAGAGAAGGACTCTGACCGTTCTGGAGAATTTTCCTGGGGGAAAAAAAAGAGAGGGAGAAAGAGGGAAAGAATGGAGAGGTCATCGGTGTGATGGCGAGGACACTGCATTTAGTCAGGGGCCTTGGCTCTATTCCTCCTGTGCTTACCACCAGTGAGAACTTGGATATGCCATTGAGCTTTTCTGAGTTTCCATTCTCTCGTCTATAAAATAGAAATTTTAGAAAATTTGCTCCACCTACCTCACACAGCTATTGTGAGAAATCAATGAGATGAGGGGATTTGAAATTGTCTGAAATTGGAAGCCACAGCTGCACCAGCTAGATATTGTTCATATGGGCTTTTTCACCAGCCAGGTTACTATAAAAACCAACAAACTTTCCATAGTTGCTTCTCTATCATTTGTTTCCACTTCTCTTTTGAGTGTTGAAAAGAAACATTTTCAGAAACTTCTAAATTCTGAATTAGCCATTGAAATCCAGCAAGGGCACCAACTTGGATGCTGAAGTGGTTCAGAATGGGGTCACAGAAGAGTTGGGTTGGAAAGAATGACCATGTATCACTTTAAAAACACTAATAAAGTAATAGCAGCTGGGTGCAGTGGCTCACACCTATAATCTCAGTGCTTTAGGAGGCCAAGGCAGGAGAATAGCTTGAGGCCCAGAGTTTGAGACCAGCCTGGGAAACACAGTGGGATCCTGTCTCAAAACAAAACAAACAAACAAACAAACAAACAAACAAAAAACAGGCACAGTGGCACACACCTATAGTCCTAGCTACTCAAGAGATTAAAGTGAAAGCATCACTTGAGCCAGGAGTTCAAGGCTCAGTGAGCTATGATTGCACCACTGCACTCCATCCTGGGTCACAGAGCAAGCCCTGACTCAGAAATAAAGTAAAATAAATAAAAATGTAAAACAATATTTTAAGAGAGAGAAGAGTTGACAAACAAAAATAACAGAAAAATACATTAAAAATCATCATAAAGACCTCAAAATGAGAAAAAGGCATACTGTAATATTGTATTGTCATCAATAAACCACATTTGGCTGATCAAGAAATGCAAAACTAGACCAAAAAGTACAATGACAACAACTGTGGCCGAGCCAGCATCCTTGCATTCATCTATTCATTCAGCACACCTGTGTTCAGAACTTTCTCTGTACCTGGCACTGTGCCGCATTAGGGTGCAGAATAGGACAAAGCTCCGGACTCCAAGTAGGGGAGGTGAACATGCAAAGTAACAACCATAATTCAGTGTGGTGCGTGCCGTGCTCTAAGAATGATGACAGTCCGGAATGAGGACACTCATTGGAGATGAAAGTGAGGGGTGGAGAGGAATGTGAAAGCCAGGGAGGACCCCTCAGAGGAGGCAATGCCTGAGAGGAGGCTGAAGAGTGACAGGTGGGGCACAGCCCTCATGGCTGAGAGATAGCAGGATTAACTTCTCAGAGGACTTCAGGAAAGTCCAGCCACCAGCATGCTGGGCAAAGGCAAGGAACCAGACTTAGTCCTTAGCATCTGAGCACAGAAACAAATCCTTGCATGTTTCTTCATCATTCCCAGCCGTTTCCTGAAGCTCAGGCAAGGAATGTGAACCATTACTTGGTTTTATTGCGTTCACAGGCAATGTAAGATGATCACATAAAACAGTTGGAAGAAGGTGTTGGGACTATGCAGAGGATAATTCCTTATGGACCAGGAATCTTGGCAGAAGTGGCTGGTCAACAGGGACAGAGAACTCCTTACAACCCCCTGCAGCTACCAACCCCAGCCCTAAAATCATTAGGATTAGGGTACCCAGGAATTTCCACTGAAGTGTGGCAACAGGGAGGTTGCTGAGAAGGACCAGAGCCCTGGAGGCACTCAGGTTTCCTACACCTCAGACTTAACAACAAGCTCTTCTCTTTGAGATGCAAGGAGAGCCCTCTGGGCTCAAATCTACCCCACACCCATCCAACCACCAAGGTAAAACAGGCAGAGAGGAAGAACCACAATATTCCCAACGCATGGGGCTTCTGAGTCCTAAATAAGGCAATTTGGGGAGCTGAGTAATTTACAGTATAGTCATTTGTCATCTGTGATGTGTGGTGACAGATCAGAGCCACGCCGCTAAGCGTGCCCATGCTCCTCTCTCCCTCCTGTGGGCTCCCGTGGGCGCTGGCCTCCCCTCTCTCACCCAAATCGGGGTAGGTGGGTCCTACTCACTGTGAGGGGCAGAGCAACCTCAGGGAGGAACAGGTCCTGAAGCAGCTCCCCCAACCTCCCAAGAACCTACAGATGGCAAGAGAGACACAACCTTCAACCTATGGAAGACCATGAGGCCCAGGAATATGCTCCCCTACCTAGCTGATGGAGGAAAAAGAAAAGCTATGCATAATAACTAGCAGATACTGTGAGAAATGTCTTCCACCAAGAGTAGGCGAAGAAAACAAGAAACATGGAAAACAATAACCCATTTGCTTTCCCAATTTCCAGTTCCTCTTCATTGCACCTAATTTGAAAAACACATAGAATTTTTAAGCTCAATGACTAGTCATCTATCACTCAGTCCCAGAGACAGTTTTATTAAAAAAACAAACAAACAACAACGAGAAAAAAACAGATGAGCATTCTAGCTCCTACCTATACTGAGCAACACCTCAGTTTTCTCATTTGCTTTTAACGATTCTAAGTTCGGCTCCTAGACATATAGGTTTTGCCTGCATCGTGCATTCTGTATGCTATTGCTGCACGACTTTCAGCCTTCAAGGATCAGGGATGCCACACAACCACTTTAGTAGAAATTGGCCTCTATTCCTTGGTTTTGCCTTCTGTTTTTCACTTAACTTTTTTTCATTTTCTGTTTTCCTTCCTGCCTCCCTGCCTGACTTCTTTCTTTTTCCAGGAGGACAGAAATACAGCTCTCCATTTGCTAGTGCAAACCATAAAAGTTAAAAGGGCTCCTAGAAATTATCCAGTAACACATCATTTCAATATTGAGGAAATGGAGGCTGAGAAATCACAGCCTAAAACCACAGTTATTTATTAAGAATCAGCTTTAGGATCCTGAAGGTCACTTGACTCTTATGTCAGTATTCTTTCTACTACAGAGCTGCAGTACCACTGCAGGGCAAATCAGTTTGGGAAATGATAGAGTAAACAACTTCTTAACCCCTAGGTCTGGGGGACATAAATAATAATGATGATAATAATGATAAACTCCAAATCAAAATCTACCTCTTGTTCTGTAAGGAAAACTGTACAATCAAAGAAAATAATTCTGTTTAAATGTTGACTTGGTTTAAATGTCAAAACAAAATCTCCCAAAACTAATCAAGATTAAATATATTTGGCTCAGTCACATAAGAAACCCATGCATGTCTCCCAAAATAGTTACCTACTTAAGCTCAGTGAAGTATGGAGACTGAATGAGAAAAGAAGAAAGCTTAGAGGTTGATTGCACTGGGCAACTTCCATGGTCTTGCTTATCAAGAGAAAGAGGAGAGTAGAGCAGAGAAGAGGAGGGGAGGGAAGGGGATGGGAGGGGAGAGGAGGGGAGGGCAGGGGAGGGGAGGGGAGGGCAGGGGAGGGGAGGGGAGGGGAGGGGAGGGGAGGGCAGGGGAGGGGAGGGGAGGGGAGGGGAGGGCAGGGGAGGGGAGGGGAGGGCAGGGGAGGGGAGGGGAGGGGAGATGAAGGGAGAGGAGGGGAGGGGAAGAGAGGGGAGAGGAGAGGAGGGGAGGGGAGGGGAGAGGAGGGGAGAGGAGGGGAGGGGAGGGGAGGAGAGGGGAGGGGAGGGGAGGGGAGGGGAAGAGAGGGGAGGGGAGAAAACCCTCCAGAGCCAAATCCCAAATCTATATTCAGGGTATGATTATCAAGTTGGTAGATTATTCAGGATTTTTTCTCTACCCATCCCCTTCTGCCAATATGATTTTTAGATCACTGTTCTATACCCTTGTACCTACACTGGAAAGGGGAAAAGAAACAAAAGAGACTGGAACTCTTTTTTTTTTTTTTCCTTTTTTGGTTATCAGTTGTGGTTTATAATAATGAGGAGAAGGAGGAAAGGGTTGAAAAACCAAACAGAAGGCCCAAGACATATTTTAGACAGTGACAGCCATCCCCTCAACACTGACCCCCAAACCATGCATTTTGGCTTAGGTACAGTTCTCTGTTTCTTGGAAAAATGCAAATAACCTAAATGGGATTTTAAAAAAATAACAGAACTTTTAAAAAGTAGTTACAATGTATTCAAAGGAATTCTTTCTTAATTATCTAAAATGGCTTGAACTGTTATGCAAGTAAGGAATTGCTTTTATTAAATGCCAAATCTTTTTTTAAAGCAACCTCAGGGAGTTACTCATTCTCAATGAGCTGTGTCTATGCCAGCAAAACAAAAAGTGGCAATTTGGGCAATAGTCCACGTAATTCAGACCAAAGAAATCTGTCATTGCTGCAACTCCATCAACATGAGCTTCTGAACAACCTAGCCCATTAGGCAGCAGATGTGGGCAGAGAATGGGCCAGAAGAGATGAAGCTCCCACAAAGTATTATTGTAAAGCTGAATAGAGTCAGACTCTTATTTGCTTGAATTCCACTGATTCCTTAATAATAACTAAAAGGCCAGCAACTGGTGATTAACTTTGTAAAACAATAATTGGTTGTTTACGCAAGTCCACTCTCACGCTTGGGGTATTCTTCACAGTCAAGGTGTGGAAACTGAATAGAGGGGTTTAGCCATATCCGCCTCTGTTTAGAGAGAAAAATAACATTGGGCTGTCAGGGTGCTGGTCTTTACCTTCTTCACCATTATTTCCGATTGCTCTATGTTTCATCCAATCCATCACATGGCAATTGTCTTTTTATCCTACTAAGGAGAAATAAATTGACTGCACCAGGGTTGATTCATTCATGTAGAATAAACATTGTCTCGGCTTGTCTACATAGTGAAATGTAGATTTAAGAAGTAATGCAGATAAATAATGGGATGCCAAGCTTAGAGGTTGGAGGTGGGGGAAGGAAGCCCAAACCCTTTGGTGCGTCATGCCTCATAAAAGACGCTGTTCTCCATTTCCTTACATGTGTATATGGGCTCTGCCTCAATGTCCCTTACAGGAGGCATTTTTAGGGAACAAACAACTTAGGCTGAGAATAAATTAACCTCCCCCAAGCAACAGTGGTAAATAGATAAGTAAGATGGGAGACATAATATACATATGTTCAGTATTAGAAGCTGAATGAGAAAGACCAAGTCAATTGTTTTTCAAGACAATTAGGCAATACTCAGGGGCAGACCAGGAAAACTAAATCTCTTTTTCTTTTTGCTCATTACAGCATTGCAAAATATAAAAGCCTGCCTATCTGTGAAGCCCGCAGTTAGAACATTTTCAGAACAGTAATCTCATCTTCTAAGAACTAGCTACTGAATGTAAAGATATGTTTCCAAGTGAAAGTTAAAAGTGGCTGCCTGTTGCCACTGGCCCCACAGACAGGTGGGGTACAAGGCAGGGCAGCCCATGCTCTGTCTCCCTTGATGCCATCTCATTCCACTCCCAACTAATGAGACTTTAAATATCTAGAATGGGCCTGGATACAAGGTATGGATTTGTCCCTGAAGCCTAACACGGACTAATGCCCAGCATTGTTTGGGTCACAACGGACTTTCAAACCCTCACCTCATATGCAGCTTAAGACTGTAACCATTTAAAAGTAAGGCAGGCCAGGAAGACTGTGTGCCTTCAGCAGATATGGCAACACAGGTTCAGAGAGGTTATCGAGCCATCATAGCTCACTTACCTGGCGGCCGTGGAGGCCTGTGACTCCCACTCTACCTCCATTGCCTTCCATTGTCTGCGTTGGGTTTAAGGTGATACCAGGGCTGGCGTCGCAGCCCATTAGTCCTAATTCTGACTTTTTCCAAGTTGGAAAGTATGCCCACCCTCTCTGTTTCTTAGACCCATGTTGGGGGCTAAAGAAACTCCATCTTGGATGCTAATCTGCCATGTTGACTTTTGAGTAACCCTAGTTCTCGGAAGGCCTGTAAGATTTCCAGTTTATCTATTGTTCCTGCATAACAGCACTGTATTTACTATAAATCCTGCCCCTAGATGTCAAAACAACCTTGATGTTATGGTGCGTTGATTGTCCTACACATCACTTCTGAATCACATATCCCCCTTTCCCGGGCCTGAGGAGTAATGGTGCAGAGATCTACTATCTTGTCTGGTTTCTGTTTGGAAGCCTCTATTAAATGTTTCTGAGAAACTGGATCTGTCAGCCTCTTTTTCAGCCTCTCAGCTTCCTTGAACTTTGGGGGCTAAGTTTGCACAGACCTGCCCACTGTGAAACAACTCATCACCTATTAAATGAAATGAGAACAGTCATAGTGCCCACCTCGCCAACCCCACAGAATGACTGTGAGGGCAGCTAACATAACAGACAAGGAGTCCTTACACATTAAGGGCTACAGGATAGAAGCACTATACAAATAGGCTCGAGCTCCTGGGAGCACTATTTTAAAAAATATTAATTTAATTTAAAGTTCTTGGATACATGTGCAGGACATGCAGATTTGTTACATAGTGTGGACATGTGCAGGACATGCAGATTTGTTACATGGCATACATAAATGTGTGCCATGGTAGTTTGCTGCATGTATCAACCCATCACCTAGGTATTAAGCCCCACATGCATTAGCTATTTATGCTGATGCTCTCCTTCCTCCTGCTCCCAGACAGGCCCCAGTGTGTGTGGTTCCCCTCCCCGTGTCTACGTATTCTCATTATTCAGCTTCCACTTATAGGTGGGAGCATGTGGTATTTGGTTTCCTGTTCCTGTGTTACTTTGCTGAGGATAATGGCTTCCAGTTCCATCCATGTCCCTGCAAAGGACATGATCTTGTTCTTTTTTATGGCTGCATAGTATTCCATGGTGTATATGTGCCACATTTTCTTTATCCAGTCTATCGTTGATGGGCATTTAGGTTGATTCCATGTCTTGGCTATTGTGAATAATGGGGAGCACTTTTTAATCATCTCTGTTTATGTGTTCAGGCTGCTGGTTTCTCCCACCTCTCCATCCCTGACTCTTCATCTCTATTTCACTCCTGTATCTGAGCACTATCTTCATATTGCTGGGCTAGGTAGCAGAGATACCAGCTGAGGATTACAGAACCCAAACCATAAGGAACTCAGCACATTTGACAAGCCATGTACATGTGAGTGAGGAGGTGAAATGGAGGGGTGTCTGTGTGTGTCTATACGTCCCCAGGCTTCAGTAGGTAAGTAATTTCCAGAAGCCTTCAAATATCCAGATGTTTAAATAAAAATCAATGCATTGTTATCTTTTTTTTCATAGTCTTCTAACTGTGATACCATATGGAAAGGCCTGAATCCCTTAGGATGGTCTTAAGACTAAGGTAAGAGGTCAGAGAGAGTTGAATGCAAAGCCTAAATCACACGGTGTGCGTGTGTGCATTGGGTCTGTAATTGCTGTCAGTGGGGAGAGGTGTGGGATGCTGAAGCTTCTTAATAGCATGGGAGAAAGACTAACAGTGTTTTAAATCAGAAGAAAAGGGTTCCATGTGATAACAGCAGAGGAAAGAAATCATTTAGAAAAGAGAAAATGAGATCGAAATCTAGGAACACCCCCCAAAATGAAAGATAGCTTAGAAGCTACCGTTAAACAATTAAAGTTGGGAGAGAAGGAGCCGCCAGCTGATGTGGGCAAACACAAAGGTAACTAAAATTGCACAGTGGCTGAAAACTTTGAGCTGTGCTGAAGCCCAGTTGAGACTACCTGCCCATGTCCTCACCTGGCAGGATTTTCTACCTGAGCAATGTCAATATTTGCAGATGTTGTCCGGAATGCTGGGGTTTGTCAAAATAGATTGGTGAGGACTTAAAGCCTTCCGGGGGAAGGTAGAGGAGTTGGTGACACCATGAGGAAGTCAGATGGGGAAATGGCTGATTCATCACAACTCTCCCCACTGCATAGGGTATGTACAGGCACGCATGGGGGCCATTTCTGGGTGGCAAAGACACAAGAAGCAAAACAAATGAGTTGCAGAAGACGGTCTTAGGTTAGATGGTGGTAAGAGGAACAAACAGGGTTCTTGGAGGAAAAGACCACAGGTCTGTGTTAGACAATTGTAAGGAAAAACATAGATGTGTGCGCACATGTGCACGTGCACGCACATACACACACACCATAATTAAAGAGATCTTAGACAACCCGACCACCTAAAGTACTTTCAAATTTCACTTGGGAGCAATCCTTAGCAAGGATTACAATCTGTGCAGATTGAAGATGACAATTAAAACTTTAACTTTCTTAAAGCCCACAAATAGTGCCTTGAGTCTTTATGGCAAGTTGTCAGGTGCTACCAAGAGCTCGCCTTTCCTATCTCTCCCTGACAACCTAGAAATATCTGTTATTCTCGCCCCTGTGGCTACAACAGTGACATAATAAGAAACAAGGGAGGAGACGAATCTCTCCCCAGACTCTCATCTAAGGAAGCCAAGGGAGGGTGAATGAAAAAGAATAGAAGATAACCATAGCGGTGTGAGTCTTGTGCTATTGATTTTGCATCTGTCTGAAAACATTACTCATTGGAATGGTGGCAGCCCTCAGGAAGAGGGTGAGGAGGTGTCCTTCTGCCAGGGAGGGCTCTGTGCTCAGGGGCCCAACACATGCCAGGAGCTTTGGGCAGAGGAAGTCTCAGGGCTTGTTCCTTGGCCTGCCTCCAGGCTCTGATGATTTGCTGAGTGAAAGTGACAATGGTTTTAGCACCTGGAAGTTGTTTGAAGGTACAAGTGTTAGGTGGGAGTTCAAATAAATGCCAGCTTCATACAAGCCAGTAAGCAAGTAGTACCAGTGAAAATGGAAATATAAATGGTTAATAAGGTGATCATTATGGATAATAGATGAAGTAATAAAAATGTGGAGTTAAAAGGGAATTAAAGTTTCCTTGTAGAATTTTCCCCACAGTATAGAATCCATACTATTGTTGTTATGGCATCTCACTGTAGATGGTTTGGGAAATGCTTTCCATAACACAGGCATGGATTATTAAATAACATTAGATCACATTGTGAGAAGGTGATGTCTGTTTTTAATTCTCTTTTAACCCTTCTGAGTATCTCAAAGAGAGAGAGTTTCAATTAGGTGCTGCTTCTCTGACACTTGCCAAGCTCCTTTTTTTAACAAAGAGAGAGCAAGCTTCAGGCTTAGAGACTTTGATTTGGCCAAAGCATCTATCAAGGATCTAATCTCATTGTTTGGTTTTCATTTTATCTCTTTTTTTAATGTATTTTCTATATGCAATTACTAAACCATATAAGGTTTCTTCCTTAAAAATAAATGCATTGAAATTAAAAACAGTCTATGGGAAAAGATACTAAGTACAAGTTACACAAAGAGGACATGGATAATGGAGGTGGCACAAATGTGACCAGAGTTTGGAGAACAAGGATGTTGGTCCCAGTGCAGGAAATGACTTGCCCATAGTGTCACATTTGTCTGGTGTCTCCTATGAAGGTGGAGAGAAGATGAAAGGCAGCCTCGTCTGAAAAGCATCTGGCACTCAGAGAAGCCACGTGACTTCTCTGAAGCTCTGGATCCCAAGAGTCTCAGTCCCTCCTTTTCAGGCCAAGAAACCTGAAACCCAGAGCCAACTGATCCCCAACCCTGAGGTGCATCACATCGTAGTGACAGAATTAGTCACTTTGCCTCATTTTTCTTCCATCAATTTCCTAGATCCCTGGGAGATAGAGTGAGCTGAGACCCAGGATACCTATCAGATGGAAAAACAGACAAGCCATTACCCTCTTCTCACTGGCCCGTGCTCCAAATCCCTGCTGCTCTGAATGCTCCCCCATAGGAGGCAGTGGCCATGAAGGGTGGTGTCAGCACAGGGTTTTGGGCCTTCTGGTGGCTGATCACTGCCTTTCCACATTGCAGCCCAGCATGACCAGCATACAAAGTGGAAAGCAAAAGTCCATCCTCCACTGCCTGCCATGCATCACATCCATACACAATTGCATCTTGATGGATGCGGCAAACACAACTTTATATGTCTGCCACGGCCCCAGTGACCTTTCAGATCCCTGAGTTAAAGGGACCATTATTCATCTTTATGTACAGCTTCCTATGACAGGCCTACATGATAAAGCCCAGAGACACTTTGATGAAGTAAATAATTTAGCCCCATCCATACTCACCTGCCATTCCCAAATCCTAATGTCTTTCCAGGGATTGCTTCACCAAACCAGTGGAATAATGAGTCCCTTATTGATGACACCAGGTCAGTGTAAACTTTATGCAGAAGCTAAACTACATCGGAGAGCATATGAGTTTTACAGAAGAATATGGATGAAGAGCATTTACTTAAGCAAGGTTCTGGAAACACAAGCTTACCACACAAGTACATTTCCATTTTAAAATAATGAATATTATGTGTTGGGCACCTACTATGTGCCACATGTTGTACTTGGACCTTCCATACATTGTTTCATTTAATCCTCAAAACAGCCTTCCTTGCAAGGTAGCTGTTATTATCTCCATCATACTGAGAGTTTGAAATCAAGATGGCTTTCTGAATGTCATCCTAATAGCAAGTAATAAGGCAGAAAGCCATTCAAAAATTTTACTGGAACAAAGGAGGATGTGAAAAAATAAATGACTACATGGCAGAGTTGGATGTGAACTACAGTTGGTCTGACTCCCTTCATATTCATTCTACTGGACCTTACTACTTTTATCTCCGTGAGGGAGTTTGGTTTAAGGATAGGAGGGGGGCTGCCTGGCACCTTGCTTCCTAACAGCCCTTTATCCTGGTTTGGGGGTGCAGGACATTAGGAAGAGTGTGTGAGATCCCCATGATCCCTACTTCCCATCTTCAGATGCAGTCACAGCATAGGTTTGGTGGGATCTTGATGTGTCTTCTGCTGCTCTGTCCTGAATTCAAATGATTACTTTCCAGAGACATATACAAGGCCAGGGAATTCCAAAGAGCAACTAGTATTGTCCAGCAGGTTTGTGAAGAGCACAGGGAAGTGGCTGCTGGATGGTCCAGCTTCACTGAGAAAGGACTTGTCTATCTGTAACCAGTTTGTATTTTGTGGTCTGTATTTGCCTATGGCTTTAGAATCTTCCCAAGTCAGACTTGAAGAGTTTGACAAGTCCATGGATTTCTCATTCCAACTTCCCATTGACAACTGAGTCTAATGACTATATATGGGTTAAAAAGGTAACACAGACAAAGAACAGTGATGGTGTCAAGATGGTGGTGTTTTGGGTAAAATTTTCTCCTTCACAACTTAATTTAATTGAGATACCATAATTTCTAAAAATGGACAGAGAGTCAGCCGGACATGGTGGCTCATGTGTGTAATCCCAGCACTTTGGGAGGCCAAGGCGGGTGAATCACCTGAGGTCAGGAGCTCGAGACCAGCCTGGCCAACAGGGTGATACGCCATCTCTACTAAAAATACAAAAATCAGCCGAGTGTGGTGGTGGTTGCCTGTAATTCCAGCTACTCGGGAGGCTGAGGCAGGAGAATCGCTTGAACCCGGGAGGCAGATATTGCAGTGAGCAGAGACTGTACCATTTCACTCTAGCCTGGGTGACAAGAGCAAAACTCCATCTCAAAAAAAAAAAAAAAAAAGGGATAGTCATACTATCAAATGTTATCAATGAGATAATGGCTGAGAAAAGACTATTGCATTTTTAGTTGGGTATGACTTGAATCTTGAATAACTTGTATTGGAGGGCCTGGGAGAACAATGTGAAGAGATCAGGGGCAGAGTCAGAAAATGCAGATTCTCCTCCCAGTTTCAACGTTGACTGGCCTGACAACTTTGTGCAAGTCACTTGAACTTTCTGAGCTATGCTTTCCTGTGCTGATAAAGTGGCAACCACAGGGCCTTTTCTGGCTGTCTCTTAGGCCTTATATTAAGAATATATACATTATGGATTGAATTGTGTACCCTCCAAATTTATAGCTTGAAGCCCTAATTCCCAATGCAACTGTATTTAAAGATAGAGTCTTTAGGAGGGTATTTAAGGTTAAATGAAGTTATAAAGATAGGGCTCTACCAGGGACACCAGGGAGCTTTCTCTCTGCACACTCTCAGAAGAAAAGCCATGTTAGGACACAGTGAAAAGGCTGCTGTCTGCAAGCCAGGAAGAGAGACCTCACCAGAAGCCAACTCTGACAGCACCTTGATCTTGGACTTCTAGTTTCTAGAACTGTGAAATCATAAATTTTGGTTAAGTCATCCAGTCCATGGTATGTTGTTATGGCAACCCAAGCAGACTACTGCAGAGTCGAAAGAGATGAGGTAAGAAAAAAGGTGTCAAGTGTCACACAGATAAGGAGCTTTCATACAGTGCTGAGGTCGAAGGCCAGGCTGGAGGGGAGCAGGGGACGTGAAGCGGGAGAGAAGGCACATTCTGACTCCCCCCCTTTGAAACTGAAGAGCACAAGAAATGAGACATGAAGTAGCTTGAGGAGGTAGCACAACAGAAAGAAGTTTGGTAGGATGGAAAGCCAGGGTCTCTCCCGTGAATACTTACAAAAGAAGCAGAGATAACCAGCCCATGAGATATTTACAAACAGTATTTACATTGGGTCATCATAATGTCAAGCTTATCTCCATGTCTCAAGAGAAGAGGATTAGATCAAATGTAATAGTCCTTAAAAAATGGATGTTCCCTGATTCTAAAAGCTCTGCATGGATGGAGCTTTCATGTATTCAGGTTTGTGACTCACTGACAGGTGTGAGATGGAACTAACTCATTGCTTCACACAGGAAATATTCCCGTGCTCCTAACACAAACTGATTTCATGCCAAAGGCATGACTCTAAAGCACAAACACAATAAGGCATGTAGCTGACCTGGCCAAACAGAGGATGGCAGATTGCACTGTAGGATCTGTAATCTTTCTGCTCCTCCATTCCTGGCTCTGATCTGGATTTCAAGTTCATGTTACTGGTGATGCCTTTCTCTTCTCTTGATACTGTGTATCTCATTGCATAAATGATGTCCAGAGTAATGCATTGGTATCTGTCTACGCCCCTTCCAGTTCAAATGTCCCCCCAGGCTCTATAATGCTAAGGTGGCAAAGCTATGGCACAATTAGAGTAAAGCCTTGGAAAAGGTGGCATAGAGGGTGCAAGGGGCAGGAAAACTGAAGGGGTGAAACACACATGGCAAAGATGACAAGGTAAATCCCTGTTTTGAAAAGGCAGTAATTCAGGTTCTTCATGCCTCCTTGTGCCTATCAAGTGTTACCTAGGGAGGAGGTTCCCGAAGGAAGGACAAGTATGAGACACAAAAGGCACACAGT